>NC_000002.12:228398708-228701739 GCF_000001405.40 Homo sapiens
TGATTGTGCTTATTTGTTTCTTTTTTTCTTAGTTAATTAGGCTAGTAGTTTGTAAATTTTATTTATTCTTTTGAAAGACCAACTTTTTGTTTCATTTATCTTTTCTATGGATTTTTGAGTCTCAATTTCATTTGATTATTCTCTGATTATAGTCATTCCTTTTCTTCTACTAGCTTTGTGGTTTCTTTGCTCTTTCTTTCTATTTCTAGGTGCAATGTTAGATTGTTAATCTGAGATCTTTTAAACTGTTTGATGTAGGCATTTAGTGATTTAAAATTCCTCTTAGCATTGTTTAGCCGCATTCCAAAGATTCTGGTATGCTATGTCTCTATTTTCATTAATTTCAAATAATTTTTTGATTTCTGCCTTTTTTGTTCACCCAAAGGTCATTTAGGAGTAAGTTGCTTAGTTTCCATGCAATTGTGTGGTTTTGAGAGATCTTCTTTGTGTCAAATTCTATTTTTATGGCACTGTTTTTGGAGAGTCTGCATGATATGATTTCCATTTTTTCAAATTTATTGAGATTTGCTTTACGGCTGAGCATGTGATCAATCTTAGAATATGTTCTAGGTGTGGATGAGAAGAATGTATATTCTGTGGAGGTTGGGTGAAGATTCTGTCAATGTCTATTAGGTTCAATTTATTGGGTGTCAAGTTTAAGTCCATAATTTCTTTGTTAATTTCCTATCTTTATAGTCTGTCTAATGCTGTTAGTGAGGTGTCAAAGTCTCCCACTATTATTGTGTGGCTGTCTCAGTCTTTTCATAGGTCAAGAAAAATGTGTTTAACGAATCTTAGTGCTCTAGCATTGGGTGCATATGTCTTAAGTCGTCTTGTAGAATTGAACCCTTTATAATTATGTAATGCCCCTCTTTGTTCTTCTTGATTGTCATTATTTTAAAGTCTGTTTTATCTGCTATAAGAATAATGAACCTGTTTTTTTTTTTTCCATTTACATGATAGGCCTTTACTTAGAACCTCTGGAGTGTCTTTACATAGAAATGGGTCTCTTGAGGACAACAGACAGTTGGGTATACTTTTTTATCCAACTTGCCACTCTATGCCTTTTACATGTTGCATTGAGACTATTTAAATTCAAAGTTAGTATTGATATGTGAGATTTTGATCCTGTCATCATGTTAGCTGAATGCTTTGTAGACTTGGTTGTGTAGTTGTTTTATAGTATCTGTGAGCTATGTACTTAAGTGTGCTTTTCTGGTAGCAGGTATTGTTCTTTTGTTTATATGTTTAGCATTCCCTTAAGAACCTCTTGTAAGACTGGTTTCATTGTAATGAATTCCCTATGTTTGCTTGTCTAAAAAGAATTTTATTTCTCCTTCAGTTATAAAGCTTAGTTTGGTGGGTTACAAAATTCTTGCTTGGAATTTCTTTTCTTTAAGGATGCTGAATATACGTCCCTAATCTCTTTTGGCTTCTAAGGTTTCTGCTGAGAGGTCCATTGCTAGCCTGGTGAGGATCCATTTGTACATAACCAGACCCTTCTCTCTAGCTTTCTTTAAGATTTTTTCTTTTGCATGTACTTTGGTGAATTTGTTAACTATGTGCCTTGGTGATGGTCCTCTTGTATAGTATTTCACAGGGGTTCTCTGTATTTATTGAATTTGCATGCCAACCTCTCTAGTGAGATTGGAGAAATTTTTGTGGACTATATCTTTAAGTATGTTGTCTATGCTATTTACTCTCTCTTTCACCCTCTGCAATGCCAGTGAGTTTTCGGTTTGATCCCTTTACATAATTCCATAATTCTTGGGCATTTTATTCATTTAAAAAAATTCTTCTTTGTTTATTTTCATCTGACTGAGTTGAATTGAAGAACCAGCCTTTGAGCTCTGAGATTTTTCCCTCAGCTTGGTCACTTCTGCTATGAATGCTTCCAACTGTATTTTGAAATTTTTGTAGGGAATTTTCAATTCCAGAACTTCAGTTTGAGTTTTTCTAATATTGACTATTTTATCTTTCAACTCTTGGATCATTTGACTGGATTCCTTGCATTTCTGGAATTGGGTTTCAGCTTTTTCTGAATCTTGATGAACTTCCTTGCCACCCAGATTCTGAATTTTGTGTCTGTCATTTCAATCATTTCAATGTGGCTAAGCAGTATTGTTGGGAAGCTAATGTGCTCATTTGAAGGTAAGGAGACCATCTGACTTTTTGAATTGCCAGAGTTCTTGTGCTGATTCTTTCCCATCTGAGAGGGCTGGTGTTCCTTTGCCTTTTTGTATTTGCTGCCATTTGGATGGGGCTTTTGTTTTTATATTCTTTATCTCCATTGAGAATTTAACTGTGGTATACATTGATTATAGTCAATTGGCTTCGGCTTCGTTTCTGCTTGCATTCAGTGGGCCAAGGCTCTGTGTGGGATTTTTTGTGACTTGATTCTTGCCCTGGGTTTCACAGGCAATGTATACTAGCAGAATATTTTTGATGTTGTAATTTGGGCTGCTATTCAGTAGATGGCGCTTAAAAGTCATGGCCAGCAGATAGGTGCTTACACAGTCACATGTCTCTTTTTTTTTTTGTTTCAGTGCCTTTGCAGTAGTTCTCTGTGATGGGTGATGGGAAAGAGATAACCCCATTACCGGGTCAACTCCCAGGCCTTAGGGGATCCCCTCTGATCGCTGGTGCTGCACCTGCATTTCCTTTGGTGTTTCTGGTTGCAAAGCTTCCTTGGGCAGAGGCTGCAGCTGGCAGACAGGCCACATCATTTGTGGATTGGCTCTGCAAAGGGAGAGCCCATGAGCCCATGCTTCTCACCCCTCTCAGTGTTCAGAGAGTGGGGTGGGGTGTCTTCCCCTATTCTAGTGCTGGCCACAGATCTCAGCTCAGCACTGCTGAGTTGTGTACTACAACCTTAGGGTGCTGCAACCAGGCTTCTGACTCTATCCTGAGGCCCCTCAGGGTCAGGAACTGGCTGGGCTGCAGGATTTGAAGTGCTCCCATGCTGGTGGGGAAGCATTTAAGTGGAGCCCTGGGCAAAGCACCTAGGCTCAGCAGCAGAGGCTGCACTGTGCACATGCTCCTGTGGGAGCAGCCAGGCAGGGAACTTGGGAAGGGTGGCAGGCAGGGGGGCCTGCTGAACACATGTGCCCCAGTACTGGGTGGTAAAGATGACCTTGTTCTCTCTTGGCCCTGGTGGTCAATTTAGAGTTACTTAAAGGAAATGGAGAGACTTGAGGGATGGGCCTCTATGGCTGCGTTCTGCTGCAGCTGCCCTGCTCACAAAATTCCCTGGCCTCTGGGCAGGCTGAAGCTCTGTTTCTGCCTACCCTAGGGGGCAGATCCCCCTGCCAATTCAAATGTCTACTGGGGTCCTGGGATCTTTTGTAGCTAAGATCCCAGAGGCCCGTGGCAAGAGTGGGCTGCCCCACCTGCACTTCACTCACACTTCCCTAGGAGTCGTCCTAAGGTGAGAGCTGGTCTCGGCTCTCGATTCCTCCTTCTACTGCCTTGGTAACTGCATTGCCTCTATTGACTCTAAGTCTACTTTTTTCATTTTATTTGTTGATATCTTTTACTTATTTTTCTATTAGTTTTTTTAAATTAACAGCTATTTAAAATTAAAGATATTAATCTTCTGTTTATATAAGTTCAAATTACTTTCCTAGTTTGTCACTCTAATTGTGGCATTTTTGAGGTATAACCATTTCAAAATGATGTGGTACCTATATTTCTTCTATATAGTTTTTCTGTATATCATTTGTAGAAAGGTTGTCTCTGTCACCAAAAGTATGATGCTTACCTATATTTTACGAGTAATATTGTTTCTTATTTTATATGCAAGTATTTGATACGTTTGATATTATTTTTATGAATTCATACAGGAATACAGAATTCATTTTTTCAATTTTTGTAGAAATGGCTAGTTATTTCAGAACCACTTAATGATTTATTCTTTTGTATTTATTTTAATATCAACATTGTCTTATATTCACATAGATTAAATATATATTAAATGTCTACATGACTTTAAACTATAGTACGTAGTATAGATTTATTCTAACTTACCTCTATAATCTTGTTTTACTTATCTTTGAAATATATTTTTATATCTAAAAGAGTGTATCTTCCTTCCTTATTCATTGTTAAGAATATTTCTGGCTGTACTTGCATGCTTATCCTTCCAAATTAATTTTGTTTACTTTTCACATTTATAGGAATCTATTATTTATTTATTATTATTTTTTTTGAGATGGAGTCTCACTCTGTCACCCAGGCTGGAGTGCAGTGGTGCAATCTTGGCTCATTGCAACCTCTGCCTCCCGGATTCAAGCAATTCTCCTGCCACAGCCTCCCAAGTAGCTGGGATTATAGGCACTCACCACCATGCCTGGCTAATTTTTTGTATTTTTAGTAGAGACAGAGTTTCACCATGCTGGCCAGGCTGGTCTCGAACTCCTGGCCTCGTGATCTGCCTGCCTCAGCCTCCCGAAGTGCTGTCATTACAGGCATGAGCCACTGTGCCCGGCCAGAAAGTTTTAGAGAAATGTTATGGGTATTGCATTGCATTTACATATTTAGCCTTCCCATTTAGTAGAAACTATTGCTTTGGGAAAAGTACATTAATCAGTTATTTTGTACATTATTTCATATCTTGTTTGATGTGAGCCCAATATGAGTTATAACTCCAATTTCTGAAACTATGCTGAATTAATCAATTTTTCAATCATAGCCAAAGCAGCCAATTAAATTCATTTAGTTTATAGATTAAGAAACTCTAAATGCTATTATTAGTAATAATAACCACATAATAAGAAAAACAAAAATGCTATAGTATATAAAAAGCCATAATTACATGGTGTGTTAAAAACACAAGACTGTAGTGAGACTGCTTGAATTCAAGCTTTACTTTGCTTACTAACCCTGCTAAGTTGCTAACAGTCTAGCATTGGGAAAATTACTTACTTCTCTGTGTTTCAGTTAATGCATCTGTACGAACAAAAAACAAACAAACAAAAACACACATAACACAACTTCACCTGTTACTATTGAATGGGATTTGAGTTGGTACCTGTTAGTGCTATTTTTTAACTCTTCTTCTTGATATTACTATTGTTATTAGTTATTGAGCATCTACCAGGCACTTGGCACTATACTCAAGGTATCAAATAATTTATCTTTGACCTTCACAAATTCATGTAAGAATCTTAGGAAACAAATTAGATACCTTACTGGATGCTGTGATGTTGAGATTTTTAACACTCACATAAAATCTTAAATTTTCCCATGAAAAATGAAATAAAAGCATTTTGCTTTTAAATGAATTTACCTCAGTTAGGAATCTGGACATGTTTTCCAGCTTTAATAACCTAATTTGGTGAGACAGTAGAAGTAGACATAACGCGATGTCAGCATACATTAGATGAGCTTATGAAAAATATGTTTAAAAAGGAAAGGAAAACTGATCAATATGCAGTGAAATTCTCTAGTTTGCTCTGTGGGGCCTGAAATGTTTGTGTTTGGTTGCTACTTTTTTTCTAATATCTGTCATGCATTTCCAGGCATGTAATGGATAGTTATCAGATATGCATTAACTATTTGACTGATCATGAGAAAAAAATATATTGCAGAAACAATAATACTCAACACCATTAAAACAATAGAGGGTCAGGAGATAGTTTTTAATGAGCAGCTATTTCTCAGGTAGAATTTGAGATGCCAAGTTTTCAGCTGATTGCTAAGAATCTGACAAAATAAGAAGAGTTCATATAACCTCATGGTTTTAGTTTAGGATGACTTAATACCTCCCCTTTATTTCACAATAGGGACGGAATTGTCTGCTGATAGATGGACATTTCCAACTTTTGCCTTTTGAGATTTTTTTGATACTCTCTACTCCCTTTTCTAGTTGATACATTATTTCTATAGATAGGTCAAATATTCAGTCAACTATAACAACACTGGAACCATTTTGTCTCTTTAGTTTTACTTTTTGCAATTTGTTAGATATCTTCTATGTTAATCTTTTAGTTTATGTTTCAGAAAACATTCTTATTTCCTTCACATCCAGATCTTGCCAGCATATTACACTAACTATCTGGTACTAACATGTGGTAACATCGCTAATTTACACCTCAGGAGACTCAGAGTTTAAGTAACTTTTAAGTAACCTGTCCAAAGTTACACAGCTAGTAAGTATTAAAGATGAGAGCTGGATTCAAAGTCCATGCTGCTTTTGTTAGATTGCACTATCTATAATTATAGTTACCCTAGTTGTGGCTCTTCAACATTAGAAATATGAAAGTCCTGTCTCTATTATTCCCTCTGCCTTTTATATGGCAGTTCCTTATTTCTGCATGCAGAAAATGCAGGAATATTGCCATGGAAAAGTTATCTAACTATTTATTGACCTGGAAGATTCCCAAAACATCACCACCTTGTTGCCTTTTCCATGGCCTTAGGTTTTCTTCTTAGTGTAAGGCTCTAAGAAGTAAATTCTGTTAAAGCCTCAGAGTTGATTAGATCCAGGGAGATTGATCAACATTAAACAATCCCACAGAAAACTGATAAATAACAATAAGATGTGGCCGGGAGCAGTGGCTTATGCCTGTAGCCCCAGCACTTTGGGAGGCCGAGGCGGGTGGATCACCTGAGGTGAGGAATTCAAGAGGAGCCTGACCAACATGGTGAAACCCCGTCTCTACTAAAATACAAAAATTAGCTGGGCATGGTGGCAGGTGCCTGTAATCTCAGCTACTTGGGAGGCTGAGGCAGGAGAATCACTTGAACCCAGGAGGCAGAGGTTGCAGTGAGCCTAGATCTCACCATTGCACTCCAGCCTGGGCAACAAGAGCAAAATTCTGTCTTAAAAAAAAACAAAAAACAAAAACAGAAAAAACAGAAAAACAAAAAACAAGAGGTACCTGGGTTGCCTGTAAGGCACATAGACATTGTCTTCATAAATAAAATGTAGATGGAGGCTTGCTAGATGGGTGTGAAATCCTGGCAAGGGGGTATAGCTGATTGATTCAAATCTGTTGATCTCTAGTGTGTGCCTCCTAGACACAGGCTGATCTTAGCCCAAGAGTCCACATCCTTGGATAGTTTCCATTCTGTTCTGGTTGTCTCATTCTGTGATCTATTGATGACCATTCTGTATCAGATCACCATATTACACACACACACACACACACATTCACACACACACACACACATTCACACACACACCCACCATGACTAGGACATGAGCATGTAGTTAAACTTTTCTCCTTCTATTAAGATTGAAGAATACCCTGATATTGCTCTCCCTGGCTTAAAGAAATGTTTTCTACTTAAAGCGTGGCTTGCGTTAATATGATGTCCTCTATTTTGCATTGATTTAATAGTTTTATTCTCAGAGTTTTTATAGTACTTTCTTTTTTCATCTGTAGGCATGCAATATGTGAGTCCAGCAATCGCTCATTCATGTATTTATTTAATGAACACTTTTGAACACCTTTCATGCACAAAGCCAAATGTAAATACTATACAATGTCTGTCGTTGAGGAGATTGGTGGTGGAGAAAGGATATTCAAGCAAATAATTATGATTAAATTGTAATTAAATAGCTCAATGTGCTATGGACGATATAGCTAATACAGTCTGGGGCTAGAATTGGGGATGCCAATTATTCTATACAACTTACATGTTTAAAGTATATTGATTGTAATTAAAAAGATTGAAGCCAAATGGGTAAGTATACATGTCAAAATAAACATATAAGGTTCAAGAGTGTTCATTAACCTGAAAATAGTTTATAAAACAAGTAATATAATAGGCAAGGTAAGAAGTCCTCTAGTTCCAAAAAGAAACACCCATTTTGTATATAACTTGGACTTAAGGAAAAACAACGTTGGAGGATGGGTTTGGAAAAATGGGGTTGATTTTGTTGTCCTCTTGCTATTCTTTGTCACTTGCTGGTAGGATATATTTTGTTATTTCCAACGTGGGGCTGCACCATCCATAAATAAATATATTGAGAAAGAAGTCTAGCATCCAGTTGTTGGCCCACAGAAATGTTTTCTCTCCAAAGGTATCCTCAGTACAATCTGATCTCAGCCTTTTTGTGCTGATCATTGATATGGTTTGACTTTGTCCCCACCCAAATCTCATCTTGGATTATAGTTCCTATAATCCCCATGTGTCACGGGAGGGGCCCAGTGGGAGGTAATTGAATCATGGAGGTAGTTACCCTCATGCTGTTCTGTGATAGTGAGTGAGTTCTCATGAGATCTCATGGTTTTATAAGGGGCTTTTCCTCCTTTGCTCAGCACTTCTCTCTTCTGCCGCCATGTGAAGAAGGATGTGTTTGCTGCCCTTTCTGCCATGATTGAAAGTTTCCTGAGACCTCCCCAGCCATGCTGAACTGTAAGTCAATTAAACGTCTTTCCTTTATAAATTACCTAGTCTCAGATATGTCTGTATTAGCAGTGTGAGAAAGGACAAATACAATAATAAAATTTAACATTAAGTGTATCCGTGTTGTGGAACTCCTTATAATGTTCTAGCCTGATTCTACTGTAGGTTATTTTTATAATACTTCTGAACTAATGGCTTTTATTATTAATAACATGCTAATATGATAACTTGTCTAAATATATCAATAATCATCACAATATATCTATATTATAGGCATTATTATTATTACATAAATTTTACAAAAGAGGAAACAAATTCAGAAAGGTAACTAGCCCAAAATTACACTTAGAAAATGGCAATGCTGGGATCCAAGCTCATATGTATCTCATTATAAAGCCTTGAGCTTTTCAGTATAGAAAAATACCACTCATTAGTAGAGTCAGGGTGGTATAGTGGAAACAGCATGGGCCACAGAATCAGACAGTTCTTTTGGTCTAATTCCCAATTCCGCCACTTAACTGGTCGTGTAACCTTGGCCACTTGACTTGGAATCTCTAAGGCATATCTCCCTCATCCTTAAAATAAAAATGCCTATGGAGAAAATTAATTATGGATATATAATTTCTGACACATAGGGAGTGCTCAATAAACTTTAGGTCCTTCCCTCCTCTTATTTATCATGGTTAATATATGTAAATGTCATATACAAGATAGAAACAGGGTATGCAGGATCAAGTTTATCTGGATGTCAAAACATGTAAATTAAGCTTGGGATAATTATAAAGCTCTGGTGATATTGTCTACATTTTCTGCATCTCCCTCTCTCTCTATTTCTTACTAGGCATATTTTTATGAAAACCTAATCACCATTTCTTGGTTCCACATGCTCTCTTCTACCACTCTCTTTGCCATCATCACAGTTGGATACTGAGGATAATTGGGAAGCAAAAGGATTCAGCCTTCAAGACAGGGAATAAGCAGCAGGAACAGATGGAACCTTTTAGAAGCAGAGATTGTGATTTTATTGGCCTCTCTAAAGCCACATAAACTAAAAGAGGTTAAGGAGAAAGGAAAATTATTTCCCAACAGCTTGCTTTTTTTTTTAGTTTATTATAATTGCATAAGGACCAATGAAAATCTTTTCCATATATTCTGTTTTTCAAATATATACATTATGAAAGCTAATTAAAATATATTTGTGTTTTATTACTTAGAGATGCGATAGCTTTCTCCAAAGTTTTAGGTGAAGCTTTGAGCAAAATTTAAAGAAAGAGGCCTGAATCTTAGATGTGTGATTATAGAGAAGTGATCTACTATGTCCTCAGGAAGAACGGTTGGCCCACCACAGGGTCTGCATGGATAGTGATCTATTGTTGTGGTCATCATAATTATACATCAAGTCTTCTGATTTATTTTTGAAATTTGTTTTTGTCAGTGTATCCAGAGTAAATTAGGCTCCCTGATCAGTGCAACAATAGATTGATGCAGAAACCACAAAGCCAATTTAACAATTTATATGGAAAAATACAGCATCAAGGGACCACACACTACAGTCAATCAGTTAATATAATCTCTCTTTAGAGATTAACTTCTATGAAATAATATTTGACATTTGGGAAGTTGCTGGGTGACTACGGAATGTCAATCAATTGTATCATCCAGCTGTCATATCCTCTTACAGGATTTTTACTGAGGCGTTATGTTTACCCAACAGACAAGAAGCTGAGGACTTCTTGAAGATTTTCTTTTGCCTTGGAATGTGCTAGCAGCAAAAGAATTTGGGGGATCCATCTTTTAAGCCTCCAGGGTGATACTCATCTATCTCATAATATCACATTTCTTCAGACAGACCAAAACAAAATGGATAAGATTTTGTTGTTATTTTTTACTTTCCAGTCTTTCTCCTACGTCAACATAATGAAAGATACTTATGAAGCTCCTCAGGCACTGACTTAATTTTTGAGTCACTTCTGCATTTATCTGACCTCATTCCTTACATCCTGTTTTTCCACCTTTATCACAGTTACTCAAGTCGGGATATATCTTGTGATCCTATAGTGTTGCACATGTGATGATTCCCAGAAAATCCTTCTATCATTAGGCAATATGTTCAATAAAACATATAATCAATAAAGCTACTGAATAAATTTTGAGGATAATTTTGGGATCTCCTCATAGCATCTCACTTTTTGGCATTTCTTTCTCTTAACTCTTACTCTCTCTTTTTTCTTTTACTCATTGTTTCTTCCTCTTTTTACTCATTTAAATTTAAATCTTAAATACTTTATTCCCCCTTGTCTCCTTCTATTTTTCTCCCCCACCTTCTTACTCTTTCTTTTCTTGTCCTTCTCTTGTCTAGTTCCTGTAAGAGGTAATTTATACATAAGTGGTGGGTACAGAAAAAGTAGTTCTACTAATAATTAACTGTCACAAATGATTAAATATAGTTTCTTCTCCAACATATGCAAAGATAGAGACACAAGAACCTTCACCAAAAGTTTTATTCAGTAGTAGAAAATAAGTCTAGTATTTGCTCATCAAAAACTATCTAAAATTATGTTTATGGTCATGGCTGTCTTAAGCCCCTTGTCCTGTTTAACCTAATTTTGGTTCTCAGTAGTCATGTAGAGTGTTTGATGAATATTATCTAGGTTTCATAAAGGTCTTACTGGTTTCAGATGAAACTCCTGTAGCTGAATTTCTTAGCTGTTCCTGAACTAGAATTATCACAATTATGTGATCTCCTTTCAAGTTACATTTTTAATATCTTAGAAAATAGTTAAATTGTTATTTATCAAATTTCGACATCTGGTCAACTTGTGAAGGGGTGAAATTTCTATAAATGTTTAATTCTGATAATATTTTCCTTCTGAGATACATATTTCTGTGAATACAATTTGGGCTTCATTTAACAGGACTTTATTATAGTTCCATTCCTTGTTAGCACAGATATACTTTCTGCATTTTTTATTATGGCTTTTCAAATACTAATAATTTCATAAAGAACCATTGTACTAACATGTCCAGGAAGACTCCACTATTTACTTTCTTAAATATACTGAGAATTTTAAAGTTCAAGATATTTTTACCAAGTCTTTTTTTTTTTACTCAGTGCCATTAACATTGCAACAAATTTATGCCAACTGGATGATATTTTCTTGATGCTCTGTGTAACAGGTTGCACCCTGAGCTCCTGCAAACTCATGCCAGACATTAGCTCAGATTTGGGGTGGAATTTGTTAGGTAAGAAACTGAAACTAAGAAAAATTTAATAGCTGATTTATTATAACACAGTCAGTGGTTGGATAAAGGATGAAAATATATTTGAAATAAACAGATCGCTGAAATTTGTCAAAGTTTAAAACTATTGCAGATGGTGATAGTCTTCACACTGTACAGCATTAAAAGTTATACACCATAATATCTTACTTCCAGATGGTACATGAGGCAGTAAGTGTGGCTCTCTGTTATGGCACACTATTAGTTAGTTTCTTCTCTGTTACTGTAGGCCAAGTGTGGAAAATTCAGAGTGTATGACACCTCTCTCCCATCCAATGATTGTGTCACACGCACTCTGAATGTTTCCCTGAATTATGCTCAACACAGCCATCCGAATACAAGCTACTAATTGAGCAGAATTGACACTGATATAGTCATTTCCTACATAAAAATTTTGGTCATTAAACCATTTCCACTTAAGTTTATCTCAACCTAGGCACATGGGATAATGGAACAAAGCCACACATTTCTTTCCCTCCGTCTTTTTTTTTTTTTTTACAAAATATTTTTTAAATTTTTTTACTCTGTTTACTGTTTAAATTATTCAAAAACAAAATGAGTCAAAATCGTGTCTGATTTTGAAAGTTTGAAAAACATTTTAAATCTTAAAGACTTTTTTTTTTAAGAGACAGAGTCTTGCAATGTTGCCCAGGCTAGAGTGCAGTGGCATCATCATGGCTGCACTGCCTAGGCTAGTCTCACACTCCTGGCCTCAAGCAATCCTCCCACCTGGGCCTACCAAATTGTTGGTATTACAGGCATGAGCCATTGCACCTAGCCTTAAATCTTATAAATTGTTCTGGAATTAGATAGTGATGATCACCGCATAATTTTGTGAATATACTAAAAGCCATGAAATGGTACAGTTTAAAAGGGTGAGCTTTATGGTGTATGACTTATATCTCAACAAAGCTGTTATTTTTAAAAAGGAAAGAAATCTTAAAGAAACTTTGTTGGCTCTACCTTCAAAATACATCTAGAGTTTGACAACTTCTCACCACCTCTGCAGCCACTGCCTAACCTGGACCATTAGCATCTCACCTGCTTCCACATTTTCCCTCTCCCTCCAACCAACATTCTTTTTTCAAACAAGAGCTTGATTAATTATCTTAAGAGTCAGGCTACTTCTGTGCTCAAAGCATTTATTGGATCTCTGGTGCACTCAGAGTAAAAGCCCAAGTCATTTAAAAGTCCTCCTGTAAGGCCTGATCTTCCTAACCACGCCTCCTCTACTTTCCTGCTTACTAACTCTGCTCTGGCCCCACTGGCCTCCTGGTTATTATATGTATATGATTAACTCTTAACTCAGTTACAAGTCTAACAGCTCAAGCCTGTAACCACTTTTATTATGGTTAAATTTTATAACCAAACACATCAGGTAATCATATGTATATATATACACAGACAGACATACAACTACACAGATATAAATACTCATACACATATACATACGTATATACATATATACATATGTATATATATATATATATATATATATATGGAACGAGAAGAGGCAATTGTTACCACCAAAGAAATAATTTAAAAATGCACATCAGTTTAGAATAGTGGCTTGATTTTGAATAATGTTTGTATATAATAATACAAAGACTGAATATTGATTTAAGAGATAATTGTTCATACCTGTAATCCCAGCACTTTGGGAGGCCAAGGCGGGTGGATCACGAGTTCAGGAGATGGAGACCATCCTGGCTAACACAGTGAAACCCCGTCTCTACTAAAAATACAAAAAAATTAGCCAGGCGTGGTGGCGGGCGCCTGTAGTCCCAGCTACTTGGGAGGCTGAGACAGGAGAATGGCGTGAACCCAGGAGGCAGAGGTTGCAGTGAGCCGAGATCACGCCACTGCACTCCAGCCTGGGTGACAGAGCAAGACTCCGTTTCAAACAAGACAAAACAAAAACAAACAAGCAAACAACAAACAAAAATAGAGATAATTGTGTGTTATTATATTGAAGATGGAGGAGAAAATATAATTACTTAAGAGGAGAATAGCATACAGAAACAAACAGATATGTCTAAACCTAAAATTCAAGAAATGCAGTAGTAGCAGGTTTTTTCAAACATGTAGGTAAATGACAGATGTGACTTCTAACAAAATGGAGAATCTGCCAGCAGCAGCAAGCATCAGTGTTGGAGAGAGGTAGAGAAACAGCTTTGCTTCTTATAAAAAAGAACTTTCTGTATTATATACATAGAATTAATCTTTAAATATCAGAGTTTAAAAAGAACAATACATGGCTGTTAATAATTCCAACTCACAGGATTTAGTGAACATGTACTACAGCATTGTATTAAATGTGGTGTGGAATATAGAGTAAGTATAGACCCTGCCCAATCGTAATTCCACAGAATACAACAATAGTACTCATAGGCGATATCTATTGCACAGTTATAATAGTAGTTGCATTTACAATGCACTTATGTATAGCTCTCTATTTCCCAACCAAGCATCAGCCCTTTGAAGAAAGATTCTGTATCTTGTTCAGATCCTCCTTTCCATTTCTCACATATAGTTGATGCTCAGTAAACATTGCCTGAATTCAATAAACAGATTACAAAATTTATAGCTTAGCTTTTAAAAACTGTAGTCAATAATAACTTAATTGTTCATTTTCAAATAACTTAAAGAGTGTAATTAAATTATTTGTAACTCATAGGATAAATGCTTGAGTAGCTGGATATGCTCCATCCTCCATGATGTGCTTCTTTCACATTGTATCAAAACATCTCATGTACGTCATAAATAGATACACCTACTATGTACCCACCAAAATTTACAAAAATAAAAGATAAATAAACCTAACTGTGCATCAGGGATACCTGATAATATTTTAAAAAATAGGAATGTCTTGTCCCTACTTTCCAAGCATCTGATTCGGCTGATATGCTGTGGATACCAAGAATCTGTATTATTTAAAATGCTCAACACATGATTCAGATGTACAGCCAGAGTCAAGGCCCATGGAAGTAGAGCATGATACATGTCCTAAGAGGAATGCTGTGTACTAAGGGATTTGGAGGAGAGCGAGAGTTCTTCTGGGTAGGGGAATTTGGAGGAGCCATCACTAGAAGGATACTTCCCCTTCTGTGGACATGTAAAATTTATCTTTGTGTTGGTGGCTCTGGCCATATTTCTGTTAGAGCTTGTTGCTATCTAAAGTGTGTATTCTCAGACTTAGGGTTAACCTTGAGGTTCTAATCAGAATATCATGGTTCTGTTTTTAAAGGTTGTATAACAAATATTTTCTCATCATGCTCTTTATCCAAATGGTTTCAGCTGGTTTCTCTCTAGCCTCATAATGATTTCTTTGCTTTTCCTTGTAGCTCGAGAGTTTTTTTTTTTCCTTATAAACACCAGAGAGAACATGGGCTGGTGTTCAAAAATTAATGAGCTCTGGTCCAGGCTCTACCCATCCCTCACTAATGTTATAGCCTCAAGCACAAGCTATTAACCACCCTGAGCCTGTGTTCTCATGCATTAAATAACAATAATGATAACCAACTATCTGTTTTATACGATTGTTATGAGTATCTAATGAAGTCATGAATGGAAAAGCCTAAATAACTAAATTTTTACAGATCACGGGGAGTTTTGTTTTTATGATTATTGCTTAAGTATTGTTTCTATATTTTATCATCATGTTATTATTTATGCTTTGAACTTGATTGCCCAGATTTGGAATGTTGTAGTGAGGATTGCTTGGTGATTCATATGGAAATAGCAAGCTTGAATTAAGAATTTGGTGATTCTATGCAGATATTATTTATGACTATAAACATGAATGTGGATGCTCAAGTCAAAGCTAAGAAGGCAGACTGATAACAGATCCCATTGAATTGAAGTACCTTGGAATTTGGGTTGGGTACTACCTTTGCGGAAAATAAAATGAAAAAGGATATAATGCAGTTACTAGTGAGAAATATAATTTTATATTTTGACGCATTTTAACAAAGTTTGGAGAAATAATTTGTGGAATAAAAACAATGATTCAGGATGCATACCACTAGACGTAATGTCTCAGAATATTAGAAAGCTGAAAAGGTATAATCTGGTAAATACAATGAAAATTGTTTTGGAGAATAATTTTATATTTATCTTTTCCTAGTGTTTATTTGTGTACATTTAAAATGAAATGTAAAGATTCTGTTTATTGTCATGATCAGACATAAAGCTTCTTAACATGTAACAGAATAATTCATTTCTCTATAACGTAATATAAAAAGGTCAGAGAAAAATGATTTAAAGTCAAATGGGGGCATTTGTTTAAACTTTCAATTGTAACATGTATGTTAATTACCAAGTACTAATTTCAGACTCTCATAAAGGAAAAAAAAAAAACAGAAAACTCAAATTATGAAGTCAAAAGAAAGCAAACAGTCGTCTGCTGCAGTCAGATACGATGACCTATTTTTAAATGGTCATTTTTTATACTATCATAAAAATGGCATTTTCTATCACAGCAAACCTTAGGAGAGTAATTTTTTAAGGAATAACTTTGTTTTATGGATGCACAAAAACACTTCTCTACAGAATATATAGTTCACCCAGGAGGCTCTAGGATAACATCACCTTGTTTTTAAAAAGCAAAAGTTGGATCGTGCTTTTTTGTTATTGCCTATTGATAGGTACTATCCTTCTTTCTGTCCTGCAGAATCTATCCTAGCTACAGAGAAAAGCAAAAAGTAATTTTATTATTCTTTGAAATGGTTATCTGCAGGACTTTCATAAACATCAAAAGTAAATTACACATATGGAAAAGTATTGGAGAAAGTATGAGAGAAAGAAAAAGCATGACTCATAGATACCATCATTAAATGTAAAAGTCACCTATCTATTTTTGTCTTCTTAAAAAGGATGTCTTTTAGTATCATTTTGGGCCTCAGAGAATGTGGCCTTAGCACTGCCCTGCACAGAAAGGCATTCTTGGGATAGCACAATTTACTCTTAGATTGCTAGACAAAATAAGGATTTCCAGTTAAATTTGAGTTTTAGGCAAATAATTAGTCATTTTTTTAGTACAAATATGGTCTAATTCTATAAAAACAGTATTTCTGAAATTCCAATTTAACTGGATATTGTATATTTTTATTTGCTAAGTCTAATTACACTTGGTTCACCATTGCTTTGGTTGAAAGTCACCTTTAGGATAATTGAATATTATTTTCTGTGAACTTTTTCAACAGATTAAAGTTTCTATTAACACCTTCTACAGATTACACTTGCCATTGTAAGGTGATCCCAAATTACAGTCAATATCAATGAAAATGTAATGAGGTAGCCAGAATTCTAGAAGGGTTGATATTCCTGAGAAAAGCATTGGAAGTGGGTTTTGGGACTATTTCCCACAAGTAGGGACAGTAAGTGGGCTTGGATGCCAGGTCAATGTTGTGAGGGCTCTTTCCTGAGAGTGGATGGGCTCCTGTGTGGAAGTGAGTGTAGGCATCTCACGAACATACAGTGTGCTAAGAGTTGCCGCAAATGAGAGACACCATGGTAGGAGAATGGCCAAGAAGAATTTTCAGGAAACTGCTGCGTGTCGTGATGTGCCCTGTAAACCTGTTACCATCCTGTCAATGAACTGTTGCACTCTGAAGACTTCTGGATTAATATTTTTCTCTTTTATTTTATTAAAAGTTATTATTATTATTATTTAATGTGACACCAAGTATAGCCAGACCACCAGGGAGAGGCTTCCTTTGGAAATGATCAGAAAAACATCCCACCTGGGAAACTGAAACTGTTGATGTCAACGGATAAAGATGGACCGGACCTAAACTTGACGTGTTCTTGAATAATCACCACAAAGCTAGAGAGATTCCATAATTACAAGGACTGTGAGCATGCATGATTTGTTGTGAAGGATTCTAAACAGGCAATTAGATTGAAGCAACATTACATGACTTTGCTAAATTAATCTAAAAAGCTCCTATTAAAATAAGCACATTTAAATTTGAGTATCGAGAGGTGCCCACTTTTGTAAGAAATTAGAATCCTTCTAGGAGGAGGAATGCCAGTTTTTGGCAGACACATCTAGACTCTTTCAAGACTTTTGCTCTATTCCAGTGAGTAAGATCTAACATGGGTCTTGGATGTCACTCTGGGATCATTAGTTCAGACTTTGTTTTTAACTACATTTTTTTATTTTAGAATAATTTTAGGTTTACAAACAGAAAGGTCATAAAGAGAACACAAAGGCTGTGTATCCCTTATCCAGTTCCACCTAATCTTACATTAAGTATGGTTCATCACTATTATCATACAACATTATTAAATAAACTTCAGACTTTATTTTGATTCCACCACTTTTTCCACTAGTGTCTTTTGTTTGGTGCCAGAATCCACTCCAACTCAGGATATCACACTGACTTTGCTACCAATTGCTGAGGACATGTGGACAACTGGTGGGTGAGCAACGTGGAGAGGAGCTTTATTGAGTGATAGAACAGCACTCAGCAGAGAGGAGACCAGAAGTAGGTAGCTCCTGTTCTCAGGCAGGTCCTCCCAGTGAGTCTCTGAGTTGGGCTGAGTCTGAGATTTTCACAGGCTCAGAATAGAGGAGGTGCATGCTGATTGGCCCATGGGTGGGAGGAAGTGCATGCTGATTGGTCCATGGGTGGGAGGAAGTGCATGATCATAGATAGATAGATATATAGATAGATAAAGAGGGGATTTAGGGGAGTTTGCTCATGTAATTTTAGAAGCTAAGAAGTCCCATATTAAGTTGTCTGCAAGTTGGAGAACTAAGGAAGTTGGTAGTGTGGTTCAGTCCAAGTCCCAAGGTCTCAGACTCAGGACAGCAAATCGTGTAACTCTCAAGCCCCAAACCTGAGAACACAAGGGGCCCACTGCTGTAAGTCCCAGAATCCAAAGACCAGAGAACCTGGAGTTCTGATGTCTAAGGGCAGAGGAAGAGGGGTGTCCCAGCTCCGTAAGAGAGAGAGAGGGAGCTGGGGAGAGGGAAGGAGAGAGAGGGAGAGGGAGAAGGAGAGAGAAGGAGAAAGGGAGAGTGAGAGGGAAAGGAAGGGAGGGAATTCAACTTTCCTCTGAGATTTTCTTCTATCCATACCCTCAGCCTATTGGATAGTGCCTGCTCTCATTGGGTGAGAATGGATCTTCTTTACTCTGTCTACTGATTCAAATGTCAGTCTCTTGTGGAATCACCCTCACAGACGTAACCAGAAGTAATGGTTTATCAGCTATCTAGGTATTCCTTAATCCAGTCAAATTGACCTATAAAATTAACTATCACAAGTGGCAATCAGGGGTAAGTGGAGTATAATGGCTAACTTAGGTAATGTGGCTATCCAAAAATAGTTACCAGGAAAATGAAGCTCAGGTTGGTTTGAATGAATCAGAGGCTTCTCCTGGAGCTGAGACTGAGCCACGTTTACCTGAGTCATATAAACAACATTAGGGTTCTGTAAAGAAACTGGGAAGGAATCCACAGTGTCTATCACAGTAAAAACAACTACTTGCTACATTTTTTGCTAAGTAAACTCTATTCCTCTTGTTTCCTAGATACTTAGAAAGGTGAAGAATTTATTTAAATCCAGCTTCTACCATCATGAATCAATCTAATCTTAGTCTATTAGATTGTTAGTTCCAATTTAGAATAGAGTTTATATAACATACATTATTTTACATTAACATGTATTTGCCTTATTTTAATTGAAAACAACAGCTGCATTTTCATGTCTGTGTTTTCATTTGGTACCATTGCAAACAGCAGTTCAAAGTATAGCATTTCCTTCCCAAGCAACCCCAGCTGCCTAACCTCAAAGTGTTATTTCATACTTCATTTAAACTTGCTACAGTGATTTCACAGTTCCAAAGACTCGGAGAAACCTGAGTCATCAGCAAATTAAAAAAAAAAAAATCAACAACCACCAAGGTTATTTTTGCTGTTGTTTTCTTGGTTTTTTGCACTTTCTCACTTCCCACATGCTTTTGGTTGTAGCTTATCACCTTCCCTTCTCCATTTATTCACATTCTGAACTTTATTTAACCTCTGAGGCTCAACTCAATTTTCCTTTCCTCTGGGACAACTTTGCTGAGGTTTTCTTCTATAAAAGTTATCTTCCTTCTCTTTGCTCTCATCCTATACTGCCAACCCTTGTCAAATTGCCACATTAATCTTTTTGCTCATCTTTCTTCCCTTTTAGCCTATCAGACCTTGCAGAATTTGTGATCTGTTCATTTTTATATTTGGTATTTTGTATGTACTGAAAAAACATTGGTTTAATTCATCAAAGAATAAGTTATAAGTTCATCTTAAAATTATTCAAAGTTATCTCAAAAATAAATTTGAATGCTAGTGTCAATCTCTTGTTTTTCAGTTCTCATCTCTAGCACACTTTGTTTTTAAATTAGAGTTTGAAATTCAAGTTATGATAGCAATTGAAATGTAAACTGTGGTCTCTGAGGACACGGATTATTTTTGCTTCAGTGTTACCTCGAGCACAATGTTTGCCACACTAGTGCTAAACAATTGTATGTAACAAAAATGAATAAATGTTTTCTTCTGGACAAGTCACTTTTATGGTAGAATATGATTTGGGTTCTTTTTTTCCTTTAAATGTTATTTCTGTATTTTTATGAGCTTCTATATAATTAAATCAAGTATTTTAAAGTTTCAGGCAGAAATATCTCTAAGAATTTTTTTGTGTGATCTGCTATGAAAATACCCTCACTCATTTATACTTTTATTCATGGGCCATTAATTGATTGAGGGCCCATGCCGCTGTAAGTGCCAAACACACCAGACACAGGCAAGCCTCAATAAACATCCTCCTGATAAGCCACTGGACTTGGTGAGGAGCGCTGCTTACTGGTGTGGTCACTCTGTCTACCAGAATTGAAGTAGGCTAGCACTTGTTCTAAAAATTTATTGATAACATAACTTAACAAAACATTTTCTAACAGGAGTACAACAGAGTTTGTTTTTCATTTGTTTTGTCTATTTTAGAATGAGTGTACTCCTGCTTAAAGGTAATTAAATATATCCAACCCTTTATAGTACACTGATTTTTATTTGCTATTGTTTAATGTTTCAAATCAAATAAAACAATTTGTGATATTCATACAGAAGCGCTAGACAACTTAGTGACCTTCCATGATGTTTTTTAAACTCCTCATGAATAGTTTCCATGTCGCATTTATCTCTGTGGGCTATCTTCGCTGAATTACCATAATTATCTCTTTTATGCCATTAAAGCTATGTTTAGAACAAAGTGTCAGTCTTCTAAATGTGCAATCTGAAAAATGTGATGAAGAAGAAATGTTTCTTCTGGCAGGAACTAAGAGTGTAAGGTATTATTATTTCAAGGACATTACTCTCCTTTTTATTTTTTGACCCTCTTCTTGGTCATTATTTGCCTTTTACACCAGCATAAAATGTAGAGTAGATTCAGAGTCAACCTTGCTTCTCAGTTTTTGTTTTTTTTTTTTTTTTTGCCGAGCTAAATTCCTTCTTTCCTACCTAGTAGAAGGAAATTGGTATTTGGAAAGGCATGCAATTCATCTAAATTTCTTATTCTTCTTTATTCACAAACTGATCTCCATGTTCTTATCACATGGCTATTCTTTTTTTTTTTTTCTTTCTGCATATTCCTATTTCTTTTCTTTTTTTTTTATTCTTATTATACTTTTAAGTTTTAGGGTACATGTGCACATTGTGCAGGTTAGTTACATATGTATACATGTGACATGCTGGTGCGCTGCACCCACTAACTCGTCATCTAGCATTAGGTATATCTCCCGATGCTATCCCTCCCCCCTCCCCCCACCCCACCACAGTCCCCAGAGTGTGATATTCTCCTTCCTGTGTCCATGTGATCTCATTGTTCAGTTCCCACGTATGAGTGAGAATATGCGGTGTTTGGTTTTTTGTCCTTGTGACAGTTTGCTGAGAATGATGGTTTCCAGTTTCATCCATGTCCCTACAAAGGACATGAACTCATCATTTTTTATGGCTGCATAGTATTCCATGGTGTATATGTGCCACATTTTCTTAATCCAGTCTATCATTGATGGACATTTGGGTTGGTTCCAAGTCTTTGCTATCGTGAATAATGCCGCAATAAACATACGTATGCATGTGTCTTTCTAGCAGCATGATTTATAGTCCTTTGGGTATATACCCAGTAATGGGATGGCTGGGTCAAATGGTATTTCCAGTTCTAGATCCCTGAGGAATCGCCACACTGACTTCCACAATGGTTGAACTAGTTTACACTCCCACCAACAGTGTAAAAGTGTTCCTATTTCTCCACATCCTCTCCAGCACCTGTTGTTTCCTGACTTTTTAATGACTGCCATTCTAACTGGTGTGAGATGGTATCTCATTGTGGTTTTGATTTGCATTTCTCTGATGGCCAGTGATGATGAGCATTTTTTCATGTGTTTTTTGGCTGCATAAATGTCTTCTTTTGAGAAGTGTCTGTTCATGTCCTTCGCCCACGTTTTGTTGGGGTTGTTTGTTTTTTTCTTGTAAATTTGTTTGAGTTCATTGTGGATTCTGGATATTAGCCCTTTGTCAGATGAGTAGGTTGCAAAAATTTTCTCCCATTCTGTAGGTTGCCTGTTCACTCTGATGGTAGTTTCTTTTGCTGTGCAGAAGCTCTTTAGTTTCATTAGATCCCATTTGTCAATTTTGTCTTTTGTTGCCATTGCTTTTGGTGTTTTAGACATGAAGTCCTTGCCCATGCCTATGTCCTGAATGGTAATGCCTAGGTTTTCTTCTAGGGTTTTTATGGTTTTAGGTCTAACGTTTAAGTCTTTAATCCATCTTGAATTGATTTTTGTATAAGGTGTAAGGAAGGGATCCAGTTTCAGCTTTCTCCATATGGCTAGCCAGTTTTCCCAGCCCCATTTATTAAATAGGGAATCCTTTCCCCATTGCTTGTTTTTCTCAGGTTTGTCAAAGATCAGATAGTTGTAGATATGTGGCGTTATTTCTGAGGGCTCTGTTCTGTTCCATTGATCTATATCTCTGTTTTGGTACGAGTACCATGCTGTTTTGGTTACTGTAGCCTTGTAGTATAGTTTGAAGTCAGGTAGTGTGATGCCCCCAGCTTTGTTCTTTTGGCTTAGGATTGACTTGGCGATGTGGGCTCTTTTTTGGTTCCATATGAACTTTAAAGTAGTTTTTTCCAATTCTGTGAAGAAAGTCATTGGTAGCTTGATGGGGATGGCATTGAATCTGTAAATTACCTTGGGCAGTATGGCCATTTTCACGATATTGATTCTTCCTACCCGTGAGCATGGAATGTTCTTCCGTTTGTTTGTATCCTCTTTTATTTCCTTGATCAGTGGTTTGTAGTTCTCCTTGAAGAGGTCCTTCACGTCCCTTGTAAGTTGGATTCCTAGGTATTTTATTCTCTTTGAAGCAATTATGAATGGGAGTTCACTCATGATTTGGCTCTCTGTTTGTCTGTTATTGGTGTATAAGAATGCTTGTGATTTTTGTACATTGATTTTGTATCCTGAGACTTTGCTGAAGTTGCTTATCAGCTTAAGGAGATTTTGGGCTGAGACGATGGGGTTTTCTAGATATACAGTCATGTCGTGTGCCAACAGGGACAATTTGACTTAGTCTTTTCCTAATTGAATACCCTTTATTTCCTTCTCCTGCCTAATTGCGCTGGCCAGAACTTCCACCACTATGTTGAATAGGAGTGGTGAGAGAGGGCATCCCTGTCTTGTGCCAGTTTTCAAAGGGAATGCTTCCAGTTTTTGCCCATTCAGTATGATATTGGCTGTGGGTTTGTCATAGATAGCTCTTATTATTTTCAGATACGTCCCATCAATACCTAATTTATTGAGAGTTTTTAGCATGAAGGGTTGTTGAATTTTGTCAAAGTCTTTTTCTGCATCTATTGAGATAATCATGTGGTTTTTGTCTTTGGCTCTGTTTACATGCTGGATTACATTTATTGATTTGCGTATATTGAACCAGCCTTGCATCCCAGGGATGAAGCCCACTTGATCATGGTGGATAAGCTTTTTGATGTGCTGCTGGATTCGGTTTGCCAGTATTTTATTGAGGATTTTTGCATCAATGTTCATCAAGGATATTGGTCTAAAATTCTCTTTTTTGGTTGTGTCTCTGCCTGGCTTTGGTATCAGAATGATGCTGGCCTCATAAAATGAGTTAGGGAGGATTCCCTCTTTTTCTATTGATTGGAATAGTTTCAGAAGGAATGGTACCAGTTCCTCCTTGTACCTCTGGTAGAATTCGGCTGTGAATCCATCTGGTCCTGGACTCTTTTTGGTTGGTAAGCTATTGATTATTGTCACAATTTCAGATCCTGTTATTGGTCTATTCAGAGATTCAACTTCTTCCTGGTTTAGTCTTGGGAGGGTGTATGTGTCGAGGAATTTATCCATTTCTTCTAGATTTTTTAGTTTATTAGCATAGAGGTGTTTGTAGTATTCTCTGATGGTAGTTTGTATTTCTGTGGGATCGGTGGTGATATCCCCTTTATCATTTTTTATTGTGTCTATTTGATTCTTCTCTCTTTTTTTCTTTATTAGTCTTGCTAGCGGTCTATCAATATTGTTGATCCTTTCAAAAAACCAGCTCCTGGATTCATTAATTTTTTGAAGGGATTTTTGTGTCTCTATTTCCTTCAGTTCTGCTCTGATTTTAGTTATTTCTTGCCTTCTGCTAGCTTTTGAATGTGTTTGCTCTTGCTTTTCTAGTTCTTTTAATTGTGATGTTAGGGTGTCAATTTTGGATCTTTCCTGCTTTCTCTTGTGGGCATTTAGTGCTATAAATTTCCCTCTACACACTGCTTTGAATGCGTCCCAAGAGATTCTGGTATGTTGTGTCTTTGTTCTCATTGGTTTCAAAGAACATCTTTATTTCTGCCTTCATTTCGTTATGTACCCAGTAGTCATTCAGGAGCAGGTTGTTCAGTTTCCATGTAGTTGAGTGGTTTTGAGTGAGATTCTTAATCCTGAGTTCTAGTTTGATTGCACTGTGGTCTGAGAGATAGTTTGTTATAATTTCTGTTCTTTTACATTTGCTGAGGAGAGCTTTACTTCCCAGTATGTGGTCAATTTTGGAATAGGTGTGGTGTGGTGCTGAAAAAAATGTATATTCTGTGGATTTGGGGTGGAGAGTTCTGTAGATGTCTATCAGGTCCGCTTGGTGCAGAGCTGAGTTCAATTCCTGGGTATCCTTGTTGACTTTCTGTCTCGTTCATCTGTCTAATGTTGACAGTGGGGTGTTAAAGTCTCCCATTATTAATGTGTGGGAGTCTAAGTCTCTTTGTAGGTCACTCAGGACTTGCTTTATGAATCTGGGTGCTCCTGTATTGGGTGCATATATATTTAGGATAGTTAGCTCTTCTTGCTGAATTGATCCCTTTACCATTATGTAATGGCCTTCTTTGTCTCTTTTGATCTTTGTTGGTTTAAAGTCTGTTTTATCAGAGACTAGGATTGCAACCCCTGCCTTTTTTTGTTTTCCATTGGCTTGGTAGATCTTCCTCCATCCTTTTATTTTGAGCCTATGTGTGTCTCTGCACATGAGATGGGTTTCCTGAATACAGCACACTGATGGGTCTTGACTCTTTATCCAATTTGTCAGTCTGTGTCTTTTAATTGGAGCATTTAGTCCATTGACATTTAAAGTTAATATTGTTATGTGTGAATTTGATCCTGTCATTATGATGTTAGCTGGTTACTTTGCTTGTTGGTTGATGCAGTTTCTTCCTAGTCTCGATGGTCTTTACATTTTGGCATGATTTTGCAGCTGCTGTTACCGGTTGTTCGTTTCCATGTTTAGTGCTTCCTTCAGGAGCTCTTGTAAGGCAGGCCTGGTGGTGACAAAATCTCTCAGCATTTGCTTGTCTGTAAGGTATTTTATTTCTCCTTCACTTATGAAGCTTAGTTTGGCTGGATATGAAATTCTGGGTTGAAAATTCTTTTCTTTAAGAATGTTGAATATTGGCCCCCACTCTCTTCTGGCTTGTAGGGTTTCTGCCAAGAGATCCCGTCTTAGTCTGATGGGCTTCCCTTTGAGGGTAACCCGACCTTTCTCTCTGGCTGCCCTTAACATTTTTTCCTTCATTTCAACTTTGGTGAATCTGACAATTATGTGTCTTGGAGTTGCTCTTCTCGAGGAGTATCTTTGTGGCGTTCTCTGTATTTCCTGAATCTGCATGTTGGCCTGCCTTGCTAGATTGGGGAAGTTCTCCTGGATAATATCCTGCAGCGTGTTTTCCAACTTGGTTCCATTCTTCCCATCACTTTCAGGTACACCAATCAGGCGTAGATTTGGTCTTTTCACATAGTCCCATATTTCTTGGAGGCTTTGCTGATTTTTTTTTATTCCTTTTTCTCTAAACTTCCCTTCTCACTTCATTTCATTCATTTCATCTTCCATTGCTGATACCCTTTCTTCCAGTTGATCGCATCGGCTCCTGAGGCTTCTGCATTCTTCACGCAGTTCTCGAGCCTTGGTTTTCAGCTCCATCAGCTCCTTTAAGCACTTCTCTGTATTGGTTATTCTAGTTATACATTCTTCTAAAGTTTTTTCAAAGTTTTCAACTTCTTTGCCTTTGGTTTGAATGTCCTCCCGTAGCTCAGAGTAATTTGATCATCTGAAGCCTTCTTCTCTCAGCTCGTCAAAGTCATTCTCCATCCAGCTTTGTTCCGTCGCTGGTGAGGAACTGCGTTCCTTTGGAGGAGGAGAGGTGCTCTGCTTTTTAGAGTTTCCAGTTTTTCTGTTCTGTTTTTTCCCTGTCTTTATGGTTTTATCTACTTTTGGTCTTTGATGATGGTGATGTACAGATGGGTTTTTGGCGTGGATGTCCTTTCTGTTTGTTAGTTTTCCTTCTAACAGACAGGACCCTCAGCTGCAGGTCTGTTGGAATACCCTGCCGTGTGTGAGGTGTCAGTGTGCCCCTGCTGGGGGGTGCCTCCCAGTTAGGCTGCTCGGGGGTCAGGGGTCAGGGACCCACTTGAGGAGGCAGTCTGCCCGTTCTCAGATCTCCAGCTGCGTGCTGGGAGAACCACTGCTCTCTTCAAAGCTGTCAGACAGGGACATTTAAGTCTGCAGAAGTTACTGCTGTCTTTTTATTTGTCTGTGCCCTGCCCCCAGAGGTGGAGCCTAGAGAGGCAGGCAGGCAGGCCTCCTTGAGCTGTGGTGGGCTCCACCCAGTTCGAGCTTCCAGGCTGCTTTGTTTACCTAATCAAGCCTGGGCAATGGCGAGCGCCCCTCCCCCAGCCTCGCTGCAGCCTTGCAGTTTGATCTCAGACTGCTGTGCTAGCAATCAGCGAGACTCCGTGGGCGTAGGACCCTCCGAGCCAAGCGTGTGATATAATCTCGTGGTGCGCCGTTTTTTAAGCCCGTCGGAAAAGCGCAGTATTCGGGTGGGAGTGACCCGATTTTCCAGTTGTCGTCCGTCACCCCTTTCTTTGACTCGGAAAGGGAACTCCCTGACCCCTTGTGCTTCCCAGGTGAGTCAATGCCTCGCCCTGCTTTGGCTCGCGCACGGTGCGCACACCCACTGAGCTGCGCCCACTGTCTGGCACTCCCTAGTGAGATGAACCCGGTACCTCAGATGGAAATGCAGAAATCACCCGTCTTCTGCGTTGCTCACGCTGGGAGCTGTAGACCAGAGCTGTTCCTATTCGGCCATCTTGGCTATTCTTAACTCTAAATGAAAATCTAGGCTTTTACAGCTCTCAACAATTTTATGTTTGTATATCTCATGAAGAGTTTTTGTCTATATAGAAGGGTTTCTTTTTTAGTGGTTTAATACAATTCAAAATAACTTCACAGCTATATGACAGCAATGGAATTCTTGATATTTAAAAGGCATTCTTAATCGAGAGGATTTTGATACAAATACATGGCAAGTTTTATTGTTGTTCTTGGTGCTTTCAGGCACTTCATAAATACAAAATAAATGAAAACATTTCTCACTAAGTTTACACATAACTTTTGAACACATGAAAGTGTACTGGGATTAATTAGGGTATTTGAATGTAAATGGAAAAGGAGACGACAGAGACCTGTCTTTTATTTTTTTGGATAGGAACTTGCCAGAGCAGAGAAAGCACACTTGTTAGAAGTATTGAATATTGTTGGAAAATTCTCCTGTTTCCCCAGGTATATGAAAAATCTTCATCTCTTACCAACAATGAATGCAGTCAAAATTTTAGTTCAGTATTTACATAGTTGGAAAACTCTAAGAGCCTCAAAAATGCCTCTCTTGTTGGCTAAAGCCTTTTCAATTAGAAGCAGTCCTTGAGTTATCTCCAGCTGTTTATTTAAAGCTTACTAAAAACAAACAAATGAATGACAAAAATGGATGTGCTGCTGGCTGCCAACTTGATTAAATCACTTGACGGTAAATAACTTGGCAGTAACAGACTAATGGCAGAAAGTACACTCAATCAGTGATGCAAGTATTTATAGTGCAGGGACAGAGACTCCACAATGGCAGAGTGTCTTGTGTCAAACTAACCCTCCTGCTGACAACAATTATAAACTTTGGTTGAAATATAAAAAGCAACTATTTGAAAGTATTGGATGAATGTCCAAGGGAAGTAGAAACCAGAGGGGTTGCCAACCTTGAAAGAAGAAAATACCAGGTGAAATCCACTTTGAAATGGCCTTCTCCCCTTGAACACTCCCCTGTTACTGGGATTACTGGGGAGTAAGGGAACTAGGGCTCAAGCAGAAAGCAGCACTCTTTGGCCTGAGAAGTTAGAGAGCAGAGTTCAGGGGTTTCAAAAGCAGTAGGAAAGTAAGGAGAGAAACCATGGAAATTTCTGGTGTTTCTTTCTCCAGCTTTGATTAGGTCTTTCACATGCATGTGCCAATCAGTACTTAAACACTCCAGGGCACGCTTCTGCAGATTTTCCAAGCCTTCTCATTATGCAGCAACCTATTGGGCAGTGTTTTGTCCTGTGAAATGTAGCTACCTTGGTCTCCCCAAACTCCAGTGCAGTGAGATTGCCCACTCTGTGCTATGGTCTTGAAACTCCTTCCAGAAGGCAGTGAACTGGGCCAATGGTAGGGTTCACCTAATTTGTTTTCCTTCTCTCAGACATCGCTGGTTTGTACTGCTTGTTTTCTAATTTCTTGCCTAATTCTCTCTATTCTGCTTCTGGAACACCAATTACATGTATGTTAGACCATTTATCATTGCTTGACAGCCTTTAGAGGCTCTTTTCATTTCACTGTTTTGTGTGTGTGTGTGTGTATGTTTGTGTTTTAATTTGGGTAATTTCTATTGACTTAGCTTCAAGTTACTGATCATTTCCTCAGTTGTGTCAAATTTATTAATGAGCCACTAAAGAAATTCTTTATTTTTCCATTTGATCTTTCTTTGCATTTCTATCCCTCTGCTTAAATTTCCAAACCATTCATACATAATAACTATTTTTTCCACCAGATCTTCCAGGTAGTGATCATAGTCATTTTAATGTCTCTGTCTGATAGTCACAACACCTGTGTGTTCTCTAAGACTGGTTTTACTGATGACCATGTGTCTTGATAGTGGGTTGTTTTTCCTTTCATTGTTGTATGCCTCATGAATTTTTATTAAATCCCAGACATAGTGTATAGAGTAGTAAGGACTGAGGTAAAGAGTATTTACACCCAAAAAAGGTTTTTCTTTTCTTTTGTAAGGCGATTTATGTGGAGTGTTGAGTTGTCAAAGTTGAGCTGAGTTTGGATTTGTTGTTGCTATGGTTACTTTCTGTACACATAGGTCTCAAATTCCTTGAGTGTGTATTGTGCCTAGGCTGGGGGCTGAGGTGCCAGAAGGTGCCTATCGATGTTTGAATTATACCCTCAATGAATGAGGACACCGCAAGAGGATATCTATCCATGGCCTGCCCCTCCTCAGTGGCATCCTCAGTGCTTGGTCAGCGTCTGGTGGGAAGCATGGTTGGTTCTCTGTTTTCCTGGCCTATCCTCAAACTGACATAGATCTGTGCACCTGAGCTTTGCAGGTGAGGCAAGCTAGGTATTCATGCATCCCTTCTTCATTTCAGTCTTATTCCGATTTGAAACTGTACAATTTCTTATGCAGGAAACATTTCCCTGCCTCTTCTGCAGCAGTAGTAGTTCACTACTCATATGGATAAAATCCCAGGCCTAGGATCCTTTCTACCTTCACCCAGGGGTATAGAAGTGTTTCTTCTGACTTTCCGTTAGTAGCAATGGGTGAGCTGATTTCTTCTTACCTACTTCCTACATGATGGTGGGCACCTCTTCCTCCCATGATGATATGGTTTGGATGTGTTCCCACTCAAATCTCCTCTTAGAATTGTAGCTCCCATAATTCCCACATTTCATGGGAGAGACCCAGTAGGAGGTAATTGAATCATGGGGGTAGGTCTTTCCCATGCTGTTGTCATGATAGTGAGTAAGTCTCATGAATCTGATGGTTTTATAAAGGGGAGTTCCCCTGCACAAATTTTCTCTTAGCTGCCACCATGTAAGGCATTCCTTTGCTCTTCCTTCATCTTCCACCATGATTGTGAGGCCTCCCCAGCGATGTGGAACTGTGAGTCCATTAAACCTTTTTCCTTCATAAATTATCCAGTCTCGGGTATGTCTTTGTTAGCTGCATGAGAACGACTACTACACATGGTATGCCACAGGTGAGAAAATCCTATGTCCCCTTTCTTTTTAGGGAAGCCTGTGCCTCACTAGAATTTATTGTTCTTTGTTACTTTGTGTCCTTAGATCTCTGACAGCTTCAGAAAAAGTTATTACTTACTAGTTCATTTGAATTTTTCTTATTATTGGGTTGGGACAGTCTTTTCATCTCTTTACATGTTAGACAAAAATGGAACATTTGCCTTTCATTAAATGTATGTATTCCTAGATATTTGATGTTTCTTTTTGATGCTACTTAAAGGGTAATGTTTTCAATATTTACTGGTTATTTGTTGCTAGTATATAGGAATATAACTGATTTTTATATACTGACACTAAATTCAGTGGCCTTGCTAAATTCACATATTAATTATAAGATTATTCTTTGAATTTCCTAGGTACTCAATTCCTAGTCTGAAAATTATTTCTTTCTTTCTAATAATCGTAAATCTTGTTTCTTTTTCTGGTCTTATAAAGCTGCAACAACCTTTAGTATGATGTCAAATATGAATGGTGATAATGCAACATTTTCAGTCTCATGAAAAAGGTTTACATATTTCACCATTAAGTATCATTTTTTTGCTATAAAATTTCCTCAATATTCTTTATGGGATTAGATACTTATCTTTTATTCCAAGTGTATTAAGATGTTTTCTGACGAATGTATGCAGCTTTTCTGTACCTTTTCAGAAGATGACAATGCTTTTCTTTTTTATTGGGTTTACATGTAGAATAATATTGGGTTTTAAAATGTTAAAGCAGCTTTGCATTTTGTTAAAAAAAAACCTGCACTTTGTCATGACATGCTATTCTTTCTATATATTGCTGGTTTCAGTTTGCTCAGTTTTCGTGGAATAATTTTGAATTTCAGAATTCATTTCTGTTACCTTTATAGGTTTATTCACGTTTTCTACTTATTTCAGGTGAGTGTTGCTTTTTTTCTGTGCATTCAAATATTTATCTAAATTACAAAATGTATTGACATTTAGTTGTTAATATTATATTAAAGTGTTTCATAGCGTATACACCCATGTATAGATAAATAAATCTTTAAAAACAATTTTCAATATTGGTAATTAGAGCTCTCTCTCTCTCTCTCTCTCTCTGTCTCTCTCATCTTCCCTTCTCTTCTCTCCTTTATGCTGTCCTCTCTATTTTCTTTTAGATTAGCCTTGCCGGAGATTTATCGAACGTATTAGTCCTTTTAACAGGTAACATTTTGCCTTTGTCGCTTTTCTCTAGTATATTTGTTTTCTATTTCATTGGTTTCTACTTTTATATTTATTCTTCATTATTTCCTTCTGTCTACATCCTTTGGGTTAATCTGTTATTCATCTAAATTCTTGAAATGAACACATAGATCATTAATTTTTCAGCCTTTATTCTGTTCTGATTATGCAGCTAAGGCTATACATTTTCCTTTAAGCATTGTTTAGTTGCATCTACACATTTGATATATTTTCTATAGTTATTCATGTTAATTATTTTCTAGCTTCCACTTGATTGCTTCTTACAATCCTAGATTCTCTAGATGTATATTTCTTAGAGTCCAAACATTTGCTTTTCAAAAATACCTTTTAGTTATTGATTTTCAATTTTTATAGTATAAAACATACTCTGAATTATTATAATTTTTTTAGATTTATGAAGATTTGCTTGACTGAGCATCATATGGATGATTTTGGTAAATGTTCTATGTGCACTTGAAAACTATATATATTTCACACTATAGAGTTTTAACTGGGACAAAGTGATAAATGACAGTGTTCAAATTTTTTTATACCATTTCCTGTTTTTCTTTTCTACTTAAACTCCTAGTTACTGAGAAAGGTGCAGTTAAAATCTCCCAGTATAACTATAAATTTATCTAGTTCTCCTTTTGGTTGATCAAATTTGGCAGAGTTCCATATTTGTAAATGATAACATATTTTGAGGCTTTTTCATTATGTGCATAATAATTAAGATTTGAATAATGTAAGTAGTGAGAATTAATCATTGGTTTCAGCAATATGGAACTATTGGTGACCTTAACAAAATTAATTTTATTGGAGGGATGAGAGCTAAAGATTGATTGGAGTGCAATCAAGAGAAAATGAAAAGAGACATATGGAGACAGAAGTTATAAACAGATAGCTATATTCAAAGATTTGTTTTTTTAAGTAGAGACACAGAAATGTGATGGTAGATAGAAAAGAAATGTTGGATCAAGGGAGGCTGCTGTGTGGTGTGTGTGTGTGTGTGTGTGTGTGTGGATGTGTTCAAAGAGAAAATTTTTACAGGATGTTTTTGTGCAGTGGGGAAAGAAATCTGCAAATGAGGGAGAGAAAAGGACTAATTGAGAAAGCAAGCCCTTGAGAGGGTCGGAGACCCAGTGTACAATGATGAGCAGTTTATTGCAATACAAAGGAAGGAAGAGAAAATGGATACTCGTATAAGTAGATTGGTCAGTTGTGGTGGAAACATGTATGTATTCTTCTCATTTAAAAATAAAATTTTCTGTGAAATAAGAAGCTCATCATCTGAGTATGAGGGGAGGGGATATTGGGGACTGAGTGTAGAGGAGAATTTGTGAAGTAGTTTTACAAGGTGGTAGGAAAATAAATAACTCAGAAAACGAAGCAGGATGGCAAGTCATCAGTGACGGCCTCCTGAAGGTTGGTTGTCATGATGCAAAAATGGGACCAGTTGCATGTCTCTCAGATAGCATCATCTCCACAGCTGAGAGGGCAGATGATAAATCAGTGGGCAGGCTATGGTTTTCCCTTCTCCTTCTTGATGAAAGTTCTGCTCAATGTCTGGAAGCTTATCATACTAGGGCCATCCATTTCTTGCCTCATTTTATTGCCATTTGCTGGACCATAGATTTTGTGACTACTGTAAATTTCCTGTAGATTTTGGATACTGATTCACTCTCAATCCTAATCCTGAGTGTTGCAAAATCTTGATTTTTTAAATTTCAGTAGGAATTTAGGAAGGATTGAGAAGGTGTCTTTAACAGATGCCACTTTCAAACAGAAGGAAGTGAGGAGACTGATTTATTAGCCACCTGACAACACATTTCTACTTTGTGAAAATGTATTACGTTGTCTTGCAGAAATACCTCATGCAATCACCATCTTACCATCATTTTTTTCTACTTTGAACCTTCATGTGTCCTTTTCACTGAATCATTAATTACCAATCCAATTGTGACTCCCCCAGAGCTGCTTTTCATGGACTCAATGGATATAGCTCTTCCTTGGAATCCAGGGTCATCTAAAAGTCAACTCTTCTTCGTGATGAGATAGTTCTATTTTTGTGTTAACTTAAAGTGTCTGAAAAGCTAATTTATGTGATAGATTAAAGCAACAGAATAAAAAACACCCTAGGCACAGTCATTTCACATGGTGCAACGTATTTCCAGAATAAAACAACTTTTATTTCGACACGATATCCTCAGGAGCATTGGATACTGTGTGGCTATTAAGTCCTTCACACATCATTAATTTCCAAGCAAGAAGGTGATAAATCTCACCACAAAACTAGTTCAGTACACGTAGGAAAATAACAGATATGATATTATTTTTGACTTGATCACAGACAGTAGTTTAAAAGAAATACTTAATTTTTATACAAATTCAGCTAGATAAGAATAATATGATCTATGCTAAGGCCACTGATGTTATAGGTTCAAACATCATCTCCCCTACTCCCCTCCGTCTCTTATCAACAGATCCACTTGGGGCCTTAGTTTACTTTAAAAATTCCATGAAGACAATCTTTTGCATGTATTTCATAGATTCAATTTGCACATTTAGAAGCAAGGATGATTGCTGTTTATGTCCTTCATAATTACCTTCTTTTATATAGGAATGTCTGAGCATAGTTTTCATTTTATACTAAGTCAGAGACATCCCTGTAGAGGGTTTTATTCTGACTTCTAAAAGACTATAGTATTAGCTACTTCTATCCTCTAGCCTGCTATAGCTTGAACCCTTAAAGCCTTTCCAAAGAAGAAACATTTGTTGACAGTGCTGCTTGGAATAGAAGGGCTAAGACCAATATTGAGTAGAAAAACCCAAGTTATTGATGACCTTGTGGGTTTCCTTTGTTATATAAGATTTCAAAAGAGTTTATAGCATCAGTAAAACGATTGGCATTGGTCTAGGCAACAAATCTCTTCCTAATGTTATCTTTGAAATATTATGTTTTTAAGAAACAACATAAAATATTCAACAAAACAGAAAAAAATTATACAATTGGTACCTAGTTGCAGATTATTCTTCCCTCATGACATTTGAAAAGCAAAAACCAAATTTAATATAGAAATGACTTAAAAACCTTTAAAGAAAGATCAACATGAAACCTTTTCCATTTTACATTTATGTAATCACTACCTAAATGAAACAGATGCTAATTAAGATGCAGGAAGATACATTTTCATTTCCTTGTGTTGATTTCTAGCATAATGGTTGCTCACTAAAATACAATCAAGAAAATGTGTCCTGTAGCTTGAATAACTCAAATCAGCTTTAATGCAAGAGAACACAAAGTAAGTGAAAACATTGATTGTGGAAAGTTAATAAAAGTAAACACAAGTTCACAAAAACCATTATTCTTGAGTTTGAACTCATATCAAATGCTGTATTTTCCATTTCAATTATGCAAGTCTTTTTTAGTACCAGCTGTATTATACCAGCCATGGGCATCAATACAATTATTGATGGTGATAACAGAATAAATTACCTAGCAGGGAAAATGCAAACCAAGAGAGTTAACAAAAATGAACCTATTTGTCTATATGACCCTTGGTGCATACACTACCATAAGGAAAAATAAACAACTTAGTGGACCTGGTATTGCATAATATGAGAGAGATCATAAGGAGAATGATTTAAAGGCAGGTTTCAAGTAGTCTTCTAGATATTGTGACATAACAGCTTGGAAAGTTTCTGTTATATTACACAAGTGTAATTGAGGCACTGTTGCTAAATATTCAGTTCCATCTGGGAAGTATAAAGAAAAAGGATCCCTAATGGTGCATGCTTAGCAACTTGTTTCTTTAAAAATATGCAGCACACTATTACTGATTGTGCTGAGCTGAGATTCTATAACTCATATGACATGAAATGCAAAGCAGCTATTCACTGGTACTGGCATATAAACATTGGAACATCCCACGCAACCCACTTTATGCAATTTGTTCATTCATTTATCAATGATTCAGCAAACACTGATGGATAACTATGGTGGTTAATTTTAGGTACCAACCTGACTGGATTAAGGGATACCCAGTTAGATGGCAAAGCATTACTTCTGGGTGTGTCTGCGAGGGTGTTTTTGTAGGAGATTGGCATGTGAGTCAGTGTCTGTGTAGGGAAGATCTTCCCTCACCCAATGTACGTAGGTATCATCCAATTGGCTGGGGGCTCAGATAGAACAAAAAAGAAGAGGAAAGTATAATTCATTCTTTCTCTCCTCTGAGCTTGGACATCCTTTTCGGACATCAAAACTCCAGATTCTCAGGGCTTCAGTCTTGGTCTGGGAGTTACACCATCAGCTTCCCTGGTTCTTAGGCCTTCAGAATTGAACTGTGCCAAGTTATCATCTTTCCTGGTTATCTTGCTTGCAGATGGCTTATCATAGCACTTCTCAATCTCCATAATCACATGAACCAATCCCCCTAATAAATCTTTAATATTTCTATGTAATAGATAGATAGATACATAGATACTATTGGTTCTTTATCTCTGGGGAACCCTGACTAATACAATAACCTTTTCTGTTACAAGCAGAATTCTAGGTACTCAAAAAACCATGGGTCATTGCAAAATTGTTAACCCTATATAAATTTACAAGTAAGGCTTAATAACTGAAGATACCAACACATATCTGTCCTTTGTTTAATATTACTTCCTTTGGATGTTTTTATTAATTCTTATGTATAATTAAAAATTACCGATCTATGCAAATTTTACTCTTTACTAAATGTTTAGAGTCATACACAGTGTCACCCTTCATCAACCTGTTCATTCTGTTTCTCACTTTATCAGGTGTGAAAGCACAAACCTTTTATAAACTAACAGAGTTCAACCAAAACATTCCCTGAAACCATAACAAAAATGCAATAAAATAAAAATAAAATTGTGTTTGCTTTTTTCCCTATCCTTCAACACTTAGCAGTTTTTTCTTTGTTTTTATACATGTTGTCTTTATAATTGGATGAATTCCCTTTACACTCCAGGCACTTCTGACTAGTATATCATGTTGTTTTGTTATTTTGCTCTGAAATACCATTTTTCTGAATTTAAAGGTAATACTTATTCTTTATAAAAACTTTGGATAATAAAGTACAAAAAGTGCTGATGATACTTCCTTCTAGACTTTTATTACGATTTAGAAAGTTTTCATTTTCCTGAGATGATTGGTATTAGAGAAATGATCCAAATAAAATACAATTAAAATGATAAGTAGCATATTATGTATTGTGGTTTCCAGATTTAGAAAATACAGATACAGGACACCTAGTTAAATTCAAATGTCAGATAAACAACAAGAAATATTTTTCATATGCTTATACTCCATGCAAATACTGCATAAGACACATATATAGGACACACTTATACTAAAATTTTTTCATGTTTATATAAATTCAAATTTAATTGCATATCCCATCATTAATATGGCAGCCTCATAGTATACAAAGAAAAGGTTGATTGTGACATGGTTTGAAAGCTACATACAAGTAATATCTTGTATGTAATCAAAAATTATCATTATAATCATAATATTGCATTAATTAATCAAATGAATAACATATTAATTTTGTTTCATTTTGGAATAATTTTCACTCCAAAATTGTATGAAAGCATTACAGGACATCTTTACTTTACATTTTACTCTCCAAGCTAAAACCACATGAATAGACATTACTAATATATATTTAGGAACTTCATTAGTTCTTCAAGAATACTACTGTTTACCTTTTGATATTTAAATTGTTTTACTTTTAAGCACTGAGAATTGTCCATGTTCACTTTTTTTTTTCTCCAGTGGTTATATGGTTGAACTCTGCTAGATACTGTCTTGTTCATGGAATTACTGCTACTTTGAAATATCACTTGCATTGATTCAGGGAATCTTGCATCTTTTACTAAGTAATATATCATAGAGATCATTACCTATCAGTCATAAAAAACCGTACCATTCCTTTAAACTGCTGATATCTTACATGGCTGTATACTATTATCTAGTTAAACAGTTCTCTACTGGTATATACTTAAGCATTTTGAAGATCTTTATTTACATTTTAGTCTTTCCTATAAGAAATCCACTGGAATAGGCCAGATGTGGTGGTTCACACCTGTAATTCTAGCACTTTGGGAGGCCTAGATGGGAGGATTGCTTGAGCTCAGAAGTTCGAGACCAGCCTGGGTAACATGGTAAAACCTGATCTCTACAAAGAAATACAAAAATTAGCTGGGTCTGTTGGTATGTGCCTGTAGTCCCAGCTACCTGGAAGACTGAGGTGGGAGAATGGCTTGAGCCCTGGAGGTGGACGTTGCAATGAGCGGAGATCATGCCACTGCACTCCAGCCTGGATGACAGAGCCGACCTTGTCTCAAAAAAAGTAAATAAAATAAATGAAGAAATCCACCGGAATGGATTCTAATACAGGACAGGAATGCCAACACAGTACTTTCATCAAGGACAGTCACAGGGAACAGTCTTACCTCTTTTGGCTCCTCCATACAGTCAGCTCACTCAGCTTATGGTCTCTATCCTCAATGCCACTTTGGGATGCATGTCTGCTGTAGCTTCAATCATCATGTCCAAGTTTTAGCTAAAGGGAGCTCTGTCCAGCTGAATCAGATCTTTTAAAGGAATTTTCTGCTGGTCATATAACAAATATTCCATTTGTATTTTATGACCTACAACTTTTTCATATCGCCATGCTTAGGTGCTAGGAAGGTTGATAAATCCTCATTGCAGGTACCCACATTCATGTTGTGTTACTGAGAATAAAAGACTAGAGAATAAGTAGGTAATGACAAGCCTCTGACATAATAAGACAAAGTATCTGTAAAATTTAAAGCGTAATAAATATTTTATAAGGGTACCATTTTTTTGAAATCGTATTACCAATAAAAGTGTATGATGGTGCCTGTTTCATAATATCCTGCCAATAAATGCTAAGATTTTGTTAAAAATGATACTGTGTTAAGAGAAAAATGGTATTTCAGACTTTTTTCTTTGTATTTCTCACATGATGGATGAGACTGAATGTCTAATACTATAGTTAATAGCCATTTATTTGTGTGTCTCCTTCTGTGAACTCTCAGTTTATATCCTTTTCCATGATTGGGGGTCACTGATCTGTTTCTTTCTAGCTGATAGGAGTTGTATTTTGTATGAGAGAAATTTGTGGCATATGCTGCAAGTGGGTTTTTTTTGGCATATATATATATATGCAAAATGGTTAATACTGTCAGCTTGATTGGATTGAAGGATACTAAGTATTGATCCTGGGTGTGTCTGTGAGGGTATTGCCAAAAGAGATTAACATTTGAGTCAGTGGGCTGGGAAAGGCAGATCCACCCTTAATCTGGTGGGCACAATCTAATCAGCTGCCAGGGAATATAAAACAGGCAGAAAAAACATGAAAAGGAGAGACTGGCCTAGCCTCCCAGCCTACATCTTTCTCCCGGGCTGGATGCTTCCTGCCCTTGAACGCTGGACTCCAAGTTCTTCAGTTTTGAGACTCGGACTTATTCATTTAAATGACCCCATAGTAACTTTTATTTATTCTCCTAATATGATGAATTACATAAATTAATTCTCAAATCTTTAACCAACTCACCTTCTATTTGTGGCATAAACCCTAATATGGCATAATATATTATCTTATTTATACACTGCTGATTGAATTTGTGAATTATAGTAGTTTGCTAGGGTTATTGTAACAAAATACCACAGACTTGGAGGCTTCAACAACAAATAATTAATTTTCTTGCAGTTCTAAAGGCTAGAAATCCAAGATCAAGTTGTCACCAAGGTTGGCTTCTCTTGAGGACTGTTCCAGGCCTCTCTCCCTAGCTTGTTGATAGTCGTCACCTCCCTGTGTCTTCATATCACCTTCCCTCTTCATGTGTGTCCAAATTTCCCCTTCTTATACCACTCATATTGGATTAAGACCCACTTAAATTACCTCAATTTAAACTTAATTACCTGTTTTAAGAACTTCTTTCCACTACAATCACATTCTGAGGCACTTGGGGTTAGGACTTCTACATATAAATTTGGGGTAGTCACAATTCAGCCTACAACACCAATAGTTGATAATATTTTAAAGACTTTCTTTATAAGTCTGCACCTTTCCTCCCTCCCTCCCTCTCCCTCCCTCCCTCCCTCCCTTCCTTCCTTCCTCCCTTCCTTTCTTCCTTCCATCCTTCCTTCTTTCCTTCCCACCTTCCTGCCTTCCTGCCTTCCTCTTTTTTAGTGATGTCTGCTAAGTTTTGTTATTAGGAATACGCTGGTCTCTTATAATGAGTTTGGCAATGTTTACTTCCCTTCTGTTTTCTAAAAAAATATTTTGTTAGATTTCGATGTTATTGATTCTTTGAAATACGATAAAATGCCATCAGGGTCTGGAGTATTCTATTTGGGAAAATTTTTAACTAATAACATTGTTTACAAATATTTATAGAGCTCTTCAGCTTACCTATTTCTTTACGAGTGAGCTTTGGCAGATTTTATCTTTCAAAGGATTTGTTCATTTTATCTATATCATTAGATTTATTGCTACAGTTTATTATACTATTCCCTTATTATTCTTTCAATATTTGTAGAATCTGCAATGATGTTAGCTCTCCCATTTTTAATATAAATAATTTGAATCTCCTCACTTTTATCCCTGATCAGTGAGATTAGAGGTTTATCCATTTTAGATATTTACAGAGCACCAGTTTTGCCTTTATTGATTTTCCGAATAGGTTTTCTGCTTTCTGTTTCATTGGTTTCCATTCTGATCTTTCATATTCCCTTTCTTCTTAAATTTTGTTTAATTTGATTTTCTTTTTCTTATTTCTTAATGTAGATGCTGAGCCTACTGCTGTGAGACCATTCTTCTTTTCTAATGTAGATGTTAAGTGCTATATTCCCCTTAGGCACTACAGTAGTAGCTAGTGGCATCTCACAATTTTTGACATGTTGTGTTTTTATTTTTACTCCATTAACGATGCTTTCTAATGTCGCTTCTGATTTTTTTCTTAACCCATGTGCCATTTAGAAATTTAATTTTTGTTAACCGAACATTAAGGGAATTTTCATGGATCTTTCTGCTATTGATTTCTAATTTAATCTCACTGTGGTCAGGAAACATGCTTATATTAATAGTACTTCTATCTCTTTAAATCTATTGAGACTTGTTTTATGTCTCAGAATATATTATATGTAAGTTATTGTTTCATGTGCATTTGAAAAGAATGTGTGTTTTGCTGTTCTGGGCTGAAGTGTTCTATAAATGTCAATTAGATTGAGCTAGTCAGTAGTGTTCAAATCTTCAACATCTACTTATTTTCTCTATACTTGTTCTCTCAAGTATTGAGAACTTAACATCTGAAGTATTGAGAGAACACAATTAAAAGCTTTGACTATAATTGTGGATTTGTTTAATTCTCCTAGAGGTTCTAGCAGTTTTTATTTCGTATATTTTGAAGTTGTGTTATTAACTGTTTATACGTTTAAGATTGTTGTATTTTCTTAATGAACTGAAACACTAAACATTATAAAATGATTTCTTGATCTTTGGTTATACTTTTTGCTCTGATACCTACTGTATTTGTATTAATATATCCTTTTTTCTATGATTAACAGCAAGTTACATTCTAACTAACAGAGTATAACTGTGTCTATTAACAGACTCCACCATTATTGGGAATTATTCTTTTACCAAATACTCACTCATTTGATAGGTAAAAATGACATTGTATTGTCTTAATCTGTATTACTTTAAATTTTTAAAATAAAATTTTAACATCTCTGTTGTGTTTGTTTTAGGCATTGGTATTCCTATTTGTTAATCTCCTATTTGTGTTTGTCTCTTTTTATAAAAAATTTCAATGTTTGTCCAGTTGGTTTGCTTGATTTTTCTATTTTTAATTTTTGTGGGTACATAATAGGTATATACTTGATTGTAACCTTCTATTTCTGAGCCTTGTGGCTGACATATTTCCAATACTGTGCTATGTCTTTTAATCTTTGTAGTCCTAAGCTTTTATTATACCTAGGTAAACACATTTGTGATTTTCTTTTGAATGTCATTCATTGCATATCTGCTTTTCACATATAATATTAATTTAACGGTGTATTAACCTGCTTTCTAATTTTTTTTTCAGGCATTCCTCTTTCATACATCTGGGCCCTAAATTCCTTTAGAAAATATATTTCTAGTAGCAATTAAATCTATGTTATTAATAGATATTAGTTTTTGACAGTAAAATTTGAATAACCTAGCATTATGAAATGTCATTATTAAATGTCATTATTAAGCAAAGCTAATTTTTTTTATTATACTTTAAGTTCTAGGGTACATGTGCACAGCGTGCAGGTTTGTTACATATGTATACATGCGCCATGTTGGTGTGCTGCACCCATTAACTCGTCATTTACATTAGCTATAAATCCTAATGCTATCCCTCTACCCTCCCCCAACCCCATGACAGGCCCCAGTGTGTTATGTTCCCCTTCCTGTGTCCAAGTGTTCTCATTGTTCAATTCCCACCTATGAGTGAGAACATGCGGTGTTTGGTTTTTTGTCCTTGTGATAGTTTGCTGAGAATGATGGTTTCCAGCTTCATCCATGTCCCTACAAAGGACATGAACTCTTCATTTTTTATGGCTGCATAGTATTCCATGGTGTATATGTACCACATTTTCTTAATGCAGTCTATCATTGATGGACATTTGGGTTGGTTCCAAGTCTTTGCTATTGTGAATAGTGCCACAATAAACATACGTATGCATGTGTCTTTACAGTAGCATGATTTATAATCCTTTGGGTATATACCCAGTAATGGGATGGCTGGGTCAAATGGTATTTCTAGTTCTAGATCCTTGAGGAGTCGCCACACTGTCTTCCACAATGGTTGAACTAGTTTACAGTCCCACCAACAGTGCAAAAGTGGTCCTATTTCTCCACATCCTCTCCAGCACCTGTTGTTTCCTGACTTTTTAATGATCACCATTCTAACTGGTGTGAGATGGTATCTCATTGTGGTTTTGATTTGCATTTCTCTCATGGCCAGTGATGAGCATTTTTTCATGTGTCTTTTGGCTGCATAAATGTCTTTTTTTGAGAAGTGTCTCTTCATATCCTTCGCCCACTTTGTGATGGGGTTGTTTGTTTTTTTCTTGTAAATTTGTTTGAGTTCTTTGTAGACTCTGGATATTAGCCCTTTGTCAGATGAGTAGATTGCAAAAATTTTCTCCCATTTTGAAGGTTGCCTGTTCACTCTGATGGTAGTTTCTTTTGCTGTGCAGCTCTTTAGTTTAATTAGATCCCATTTGTCAATTTTGGCTTTTGTTGCCATTGCTTTTGGTGTTTTAGACATGAAGTCCTTGCTCATGCCTATGTCCTGAATGGTAATGCCTAGGTTTTCTTCTAGGGTTTTTATGGTTTTAGGTCTAACATTTAAGTCTTTAATGTATCTTGAATTAATTTTCGTATAAGGTGTAAGGAAGGGATCCAGTTTCAGCTTTCTACATATGGCTGGCCAGTTTTCCCGGCACCATTTATTAAATAGGGAATCCTTTGTGCATTTCTTGTTTTTGTCAGGTTTGTCAAAGATCAGATGGTTGTAGATGTGTGGTATCATTTCTGAGGGCTCTGTTTTGTTCCATTGGTCTATATCTCTGTTTTGGTAGCAGTACCGTGCTGTTTTGGTTACTATAGCCGTGTAGTATAGTTTGAAGTCAGGTAGCCTGATGCCTCCAGCAAAGCTAATATTTTTAATCATAAACATGATACTACCGTTTTTTGTTATACAGAGCAAAGGACATACTAGTTACTCAATATCACTTGTTACCCGAATTGAATTTTGCTTTATCGAAAACTCGAGGTTACAAGTTTTAGGTTGTTAGGCTTTAGTCTCTCCACATTGTCATTGTTCTCTTTCACCTGTGCAATGCTAAATGAGACTGATGAATGACCTGAATGGCCAATTGGCTTGCTTTTTTGTTCTTGAGTCATTGCCTCACCTGAGTTCCCTGAACTGAGTCCAAGAGCTGACCAAATACAAAGGGAGGAAACTAAGATGTATGGAACTACAATGAAAATCTCTTCCTTTACATAGTTATCTTATGTAAACCTTACATTAGCATGTTGAACTACATTTTGATTAATTTTTACATAACAAATGCTTATTATGTGCAGCCAGTTGGCTAAAAGCATTCTCTGGGCTATCTCACTAAATATTTATGATAACCTTTGAGGAAACATAGTGGGTATTGGGAAATTATAAAATATGTTATCATGTAGTATGAAGTTATGTAAAAAGAATATATGTACTATAATGTTACATACCATAACATGGTTACATACTATAATACTATCAGTTACAATTAATTTACCCTTTAAAAATACTTTATAAAAAGAAGAGTGGTTAGCAGGTAGACATAGCTGGAATATAAATATTGTGCTTATATTTTCTCAATTATCAAGAAAAAGAAATAATTCAGAAGAAGAGTTTTCAGAAAGGAAATAAAGATACAGACTATTAATATTTGCAATTAAGCCAAGAACCCATTTGAGATATAACGAAGTGGGACAAAATTTTCCTTAAATGTGACACTGTGCATGTACCATTACTTGATTCCTCACCTCATATGAATAATATTATAGCATGAAAAGCTGTATGCAAATAAAACTAACACTTCCTAAAAACAGAGAAATCTCTGCTCTTCCTACATCATCATGGGAAAAGTCCTAAGGACAAATTTGTGGATGGCTTGAAGATAATAACAGAATGCTTGTAAATAAGACAAGTAACTCAACCTTCATGTTTGTGAATATTGTAGACCTAGTGTATCTCCCATTTATGTGGTCAAGGAGAAAAAATTAAATACTTTAGGTGTACATATTTCCTCATGTGATCTAAATACATGATTATTGCCATATTGGAGGAAATAACAAAATTGAGAGACTATCAAGCTCAATCTCCCAATGTGTTCATGTTTGTAAATTAGCTTGGAGAGTTAGCACCATGGCAGCCTCCTGCTTTGAGTGCTTTCCCTTGTCCTTGCCAAAATCAGAAAGAGTTGTCCCAATCAAGGTAATCAACAGGAAATCTGCAGTGTAAACTATGTAAGTAATTTGCATATGCTCAAAAAATGAGCAAGAAAGGGTAGCCAATTACAGTTAGTCCAGTGATCTGACTTCTCATTCCACTTTCTCCCCTTGAGTTCCCAAAGCCCACGGGTCACTGCCAAGTGCAGGGTTCTATAGGTCTCTTGAAAGTCAGCAGGAAATGAGTTTAAGCCACCAAGAAGCCTATGGCTGATGAGATCATTCTGGAATACTGAAGAAAAAATGAGCTATATATCCCAGTCTGATTATTTTATTTACCTCGTATACTGAATTTCTTTCTTCCTTCTTTTCAGTGAGTCTTCATGCTTAAAGTATGCCTAATCTGCAAGATATACTTTATAAGCTAATTCTAATTCTAAGTGTTTTCATACCCCTGTGTGTATCTTCTGCCTCAATAAGTTTTCAAACTTTCATGTGGTTTTAACGTTGGAAATTGGATAGAGAAAATGAATAATTAAGGAATTAAAAAAACACTTTTACAATAAACTGGGGTATCATTTGCTTTACTCTAATTACTTTTATTAAGACAAAATTTCTTAAAATATATTTGTACTCTATTGTTGATAGAGGATGAATAAAAATCATCATGGGTTGGGATTCTAGTCAAAGCAATTGTTACCTGGTTAAATAATTCACAAGAGATTCTTATCTGTGGTAACAGCTCATGAGGGGGCATTATATATGCCTTTTTATATGTCTTAATATTGTACAAGAGATCTCAGAAATTCATATTCACTAAAAATAAAAATCAAGACATTTCTCTTTAAGTTTTCATGTCCTCAGTTTGTAAATCTTTATTATTACAGTTTAAAAATAAAATGACTGTTCAGTAATTTTAGAACAATGCGATTTCTGATATTTACCCCTTTCCATGACCTTACCACAAATCTAAATAAAGATCGTGATTTAAAAGCACCTGTGAGTCTCTCGTATGGCCTGTCCATAGTTATTGAATCTCAGCTTGAAAACAGCATTATATTTAAACAACAACAGAGCCAATCCTTGTTTTCTTCCCTTGGCCAGATGGTGCATCATCTTGGGAAATGGTGTAACCTGTCACAGTGTGTAAGTGTGATCTTGTGTGAAAAAATTTTGCAAGCTTGGGACACTATCTGCGAAGGCCACATGCTGTCTCTCATTATCCCAAATAATTAAAATTTTGTATTTTCCAGAACAACACACCATTGAGATTAACAATTAAGAATCACAGACTAGGGTCAAAGAAACATAAACATTTTATAGTTAAAAAGGAGTCTTTTCTAATTTTTTTGTATCATATTTACATCCATCTACCTTAAGCATATGCTAAGGCCCAAAGAAAATATTTGCTCTTGAGTCTGCTCAAACAAACAATAAAATACTGTAGTTACCTGTACAGAAAAAACCCTGTGCATTTAGGCTTACATATAGACTTTCTTCTTATGGACCAGAGAAATTCATGAAACCTAAGGATTTATATTTTAAAAGCATTTTTCTTAGATTTAGTGATGGAATTTTAAGACAAATCATTCTGTTCTTGGAGTCAAAAGGTCTGAGTTCAGGTTGTAATTCTGTAATTTTTATATGACCTTAGACAAATAATGTACACACTTTATCATGTATGAATCAAATGGTGATGTAAAATCTAAACCACACCATTAATGTTATGATTGAATGGGACAATTTTTGGAAATTAATTTTTGAACTACAACATTATGACTAAATGGCATTATTAATTTAAGAAGAAGGAAGTTCCTTTTCTTCTATTATATCTCTTTTGTTTTCCTAAATTTGTAGATGAGATTGCTGAAAAAATAGCTTGAAATAGTTTAATAATCTACCAAGTGTAACAGTCAGTGTCCAGCCAGAATAAGAAACCACTCTAGGTCTTTCAAGCAGAGAGGAGCATAATACAGGGTATTGCTTACACAGGTATCAGAAAGACTGGAGGAATGAATGGGGCAAAGAGGCCATTAGCAGAGCCCAAGAGATGAGGAGTTTGTCCAAAGAGCTGGAAGCTGTTACCATCCCTGGGCTGGAACTCAGCTCTCTCTTGCCTCTGCTTTGCTGGAGGCAATGCCATTGTTACTGCTGTTGCCCTGAAACCGCACCACTTGTGTGCAGCACCTAGGTGCACTGCCATGTTTGTTCTTTTCTCTCTCTTCCAATGTCCTTCCAGTACCACCCTTTGGCAAATAAACTAGAATATAGCTGGCAAGTGAGTCTGGAAATGCAATAAGAGATTATTCATTAGTCTTTGTCAGTAAAAATTTTTACCCACCCTGACATCACAGGCTTGACTGGAGCTGAAGGCCAATACACCGCACATCTCATGACAATTTATTTGGGCAGCTCATGATTTCAACTAGTAAGTCTATTAAATCCATTTAGTTGTAGACTACTACTCATCTAGAAATCTTAGCCTAAACAATTAGTAAAGAATGCTTACTTTCTTGTATTAGTGTCGGGAAAGAGGTCTCTACAAAAATGTTTGCAATGAGAATAGACTTCAGACTTTCAACATAATATTTTAAGAAACTCTCCTCAAAATATAAGCCATAGATCACTTCCATCAGAATCTCCTGATGCACTTGCTAATTACGTATGTGTGTGTATATATATATATACACATATATATATACACACACACTATATACTTAGTATTATGTTATTAGTATTATATTATACTTACATATACTTGGTATTATATTTATTGTTGTAAACAAGTGGCATATACCTACCTATCTAGCTAGCTAGATACATAAATAGATATAGTTATAGATACAGATGTAGATATATGCCAAACTCTGTCCTAGATGTTCTAAATCAGAATCACTGATTATGGACTCTGAGAATCTTCATTTTATTAAACTCCCTTTGGTGACTAGTTAATGTCCAGACAGAATAACAAGTAACTATAACACTTCAGTTTTTTCAAGCAGACAGGGATGCAGGGCAGGAAATTGCTTATACAGGTGCTATACTCGTTGATTTAGAGACATGATTTTCAGTGGTTAGATGGTGGTATGGACTAAATTGTTTCACCCCCAAATTGATATGTTGATATGCAACCCACTCCCCCATCGTGACTGTATTGGAGGTTGTCTCTAAGGAGGCAATTAAAGTTAAAAGAAGCCATAAGGGTGGAGCCCTAATCTGATATAACTGGTACCCATATGAGAAGAGGAAGAGGCAGCAGAGCTCTCTCTTTCTACTATGTGAGAACACAGCAAGAAGGCAGCTGCCTGCAAGCCAGTGAGAGTCCTCACAAGGAATTAACAGGTTGATACCTTGATCTTGGACTTCCCAGCATCTAGAACTGTATGAAAATAAATTTCCACTGTTTAAGCCACATAGTCTATGGTGTTTTTTTATGGCAGCTGAAGCATACTATAACAGATGTGGAGTGACCACATTTTATTCTCTCATCCAAACCTTTCGTGACTCCTGCTTTGTGAATTTCCATCTCAGGCTCCATTTATTTTATATTGATGCCTGACACCCTGAGTACTAGAAAATATAGTCAGAAGCACTCTCAGAAGTCAGTGGCCAGACTGCACTTATTGTTAGTCGTGTTCCCATGGTAGCCACCCACGGAAATGCTGCTGCTTCTAGAGTGAGCTGAGTTTGTACTATGTTTGCAGCTGCCCCTCATGACTCTGAAAGGAGCAGCTGGTGTCACAGTTGATGCCAAAATTCAATCCAACCCACTGCATAAATGAATAGTTGCCCAGCAGTTTTGTCTTATGTCCAGCGAGACATTATTTTCCTACTCTAAAAAACCTAATATAATGATCATGCAATGAATGCTAAGTGTCTGACTTTCACGAAAATATCCATCAACATCTCTTCCTTTGGAGAAGATAATTAAAACCCATTAAAAAACCACAAAGGCACAATGATGAGGTTGCTACTTCCAAACCTTATCTATCCTGCCGTCCTCTCTTAGAATCCTGATCCCCCAGCCCCATGAGGTTGCTCTTTTTAAAATTTTATATGGTTTTCTCAAAGAAAGTTTGTGTGCTCATTCTTTAATTCACAATGCAAGAAGCATTACCAGGGTTAGCAAACTCCTTAGAGATTATCCCTTAGTCATTTTCAGAAAGAATTTTATGTGATCCATGCTGTTTTGCTTGGCAAAAATCTCTTAACCCCACCTGTACTTCCAGTGTTTTTCCAATTAGGCAAGTCTACATTGCCTGGGGGAAAGTTGTCTCATAAAAAGCCCTTTTGAGAACAGAATAAGGACATAATTGCAGACAATGCTAGCTCAGAGGACAACTGAAGTTAGGAAAGCTTTGTTATCAGTTGCCTACTTTATCCAATACTCACCCCTTCTAGAAGTGCCTGGGAAACTGGCAGATATGGGTAGCATCAATTGCATCAATGACCAAGCACTGTTGAGCCCCATACTAGAGAGAGAACATGGGCTCCAGGCTTTGTTCTAAGCCCATTCCTTCTGGGCCTTATCTCCCTTATCTATAGAATGAGATGCTGGAACTGCAGGTTTTCTGAAACAACTGCAGCTCTCAAAAGTCAGTAGCTTTTTGATTTCGTGGATTCTGACAGCTCCAGCTCTGAGCACTTTTAGAAAACTGTTGGTCTAATAAGAAGCCTTTTAAAGTCATTTTGATGAATAAAATACATACAAAAAAATACATGTTCATAACAGTATATAGCTTGATGAATTTTCACAAACTCGACACACCTGTGTAACCAGTTCCCAAATTAAGAAACAGCATGTCTCTTCAACATAGAAACATACTCATGGCCCTTTTTAAATAACTTCCTAAAGAGTGCTATAAATAATATAAGCTAAGGTAGATTTCAATAAAATGTGCATTGCCAGGGGGAAAAAAGGCATTTCATAATGACACAAAAATTGATTCATTAGCAAGACATAACAATCCTAAACATGAACATTACAAGGGCTTTAAAATACAAGGAGTAGCAAAACTCTCCTTTGTTTCTTCAAGTTGGAAAAACTGCAAGTATTCTTGTGGAGTTTTAGTCATTTTTCATGTAGCTGAATGCAGCCTACCATCAGCTAAAAATCCTTTAAAATATGGGAAAGTGACACTATGCCATGCTCTTATTCTACCTGATGTCTCCTATTTAAAATCTATTTACTTTTGCTATTTTCACGGGATTTCAACCTTTAGCCCTCCTTTCCCATAGCCCACCCTCCAGGGAGTTTGTCTGTTATGTGTGGGATAGCTGTTCTGGAAAAAACTTATTTTGCCATATTAGAAATAGAACACTCACTGATGTTTTATGTATTTCAGTGTAGAGATCTTACACATCTTTCATTAGATTTACTTACAAGTTGTTTGACGTATTTAAATGCTATTGTAAATAAAATATTTTTTCTTGAAATTTTAATTGTGTATGTGTGACTAACAAAAATACAATTGATTTCAGTGTATTGACTGTGTGACCAGTGGCTTGATCAATTCACTTATTCTAATGGGTTATTTAGTAGATTCTTTCATATGTTCAGATTGTATTCAATCACAGGTTCTATGAAGAATGGCAGTTTTAGTTCCTACTTTCCATAACTTACACTTTTTATTTCTATCTCTTGCCTTATTGTGCTGGCTAGATTCTCTAATATAAATTATAATAGAATTGTTCATAGCAGATGCTATTTCCTTTTTCCATTTTCAGAATAAAACTTTTAACACTTTGCCCTCTAAGTGTGACATTTGATGTCTGTTTTTAAAGATATCCTTTTTCATAATTTTTTAAAGTTCCTTTTATATTTTTAACTTACTGAGTGCTCTTCTTGAATATATGTTGACTTTATTCAAAAATTTTTCTATGTATTTTTATATGAATATAGAATTTTTCTTTATTCTTTAAATGCGTAAAATTACAGTGGATGGTATTTTAACTGTTAAAGACCTCTTTCATCCATAGAATACCATCACTTGGTGACATCTTACTATCTACCTAACTGCATATATATCTACCTGTATACCTATATTTCTATTATATTTGCTTTCCATTTTAGAAATTCATCAGTCTTTTATAACATCTTTCAGAAACTAGAAACAATAGTCATTTCATAATTTTGGTATATATCTTGGTATACCATTTTCTTCTGGCTTATATTATTTGTGTTGAAAATCCAGCTCTCACTCTTGTAGTCATCCCTATGAAGATATTGTCAAGGAATTGTGTGTGTGTATGTGTGTGTGTGTGTCTGTATCCTGGCTGCTTTCATAATTTTCTCTTTTTATTTAGTTTTGATGAGCTTTCCTATGAGATGGTGAAGAGTGCCTCTCTTTGACTTCACTCTGTTTGGATAGTTTAGAAATTTTATAACTACAGTATAATATATTTTATGAATTTTAGAAATTGTATTGGCCATTATGTCTTCAAATATTGCTTCTGCCATGGATCTTCTACATTTTTCTCTAGGGCTGAAATTATTTGAGCAGTAGGCTTTTCACTATGTCCCATGTGTATTTTATGTTCTTCTTCTTGTAAAAACTCATTTTACCTTATTTTGTTTCTTTGTACTTCAATCTTTTCTATTGATTTATTGTTATGAGCTAAATTGTGGTCCCTCCAAAATTTATATGTTGAAAACTTAATTCCTATAACCTCAGAATGTTACTGTATTTGAAAATAAGGTCTTTAAAGGGGTGATTACATTAAAATGAGGCCATTAGGATGGGACCTAATGTAACCTGACTTGGATCTTTATAAGAAGAAGAAATTTGGACAAACAAAGAGACACTAAGAGTGCCTCATGTAGAGAAAAGACCATGTAGAGACACAGAAGTAAGATGGCCATCTGCAAGCCAAAGAGAGAGGTTTCAGAAGAAACCAAACCTACTAAGACCTGATCTCGGACATTTAACTTCCAGAACAGTGAGAAAATAAGTTACTGTTGTCTGTGTCACCCAATTTGTGTTATTTACATGGTATTTTGTTCTGGTAGCCCTAGTGAACTATGTTTTCCATTTGCTGATTCTATCTCTAGCTGTACTTATTCTCTTCTAAAAACTATCTATTGAATTCTTAATTTGTTTAAGTTTCAGGAATGCAACTTTTAAAAATAATTAGTTTGGAGGTAAAATTATCTATGTTTATCTAGTTTTAAAAGTATTACTTACCGATATTTTAAAGTCTACGTATGATGATTGCAATGTGTCAATATGTTACAATGCTGTTTCTAACATCTGTAAATTCTCTTTATTGGTGTTTATTTTTTGTTTCTATTTCCTTGCATGATGTTTGATATGGTTTGGCTCTGTGTTCCCACCCAAATCTCATCTAGAATTATAATCCCCATGTGTCAAGGGAAGTGCCTGGTCAGAGGTGACTGGATCATGAGTGTAGTTTCCCCATGCTATTCTTATGATAGTGATTGAGTTCCCTTGAGAACTGATGGTTTTAAAGTGTGGCACTTCCTCACTCTCTTTTCTGCTACCATGTAAGACATGCCTTGCTTCCCCTTCACCTTCCACTATGATTGTAAGTTTCCTGAGGTTTCCACACAGCCATGTAGAAGTGTGATTCAATTAAACCTCTTTTGTTTATAAATTACCCAGTCTCAGGTAGTATTCTTTATAGCAGTGTGGAAAGCAGGCTAATACAGAGAATGTGTTATTTGTTATTATTATTATTTAATCCTGAACATTGTATGTGAAAACTTGGATATGACCTAGAGGATATTATCTTCCTAAAGGGAGGATATTTTCTCTAATATGCAATTAGAGTACAGGCACATAACCATGATGTAGTTGAACTCTGTTGATTTTTGGTTTGCCTATACTTTTAGGGTGCAGCCCTCTAGAAGTGCCTATTAAAATTCTGAACCCCTCCTCATCAGCAGCGCTGCATTCTAATTTTGTTCTTCTAACACCATAACACGGTTAAAACTCTGCTTCAGTATGAAGCCACTTAGCATTTTCTTTCTACTTCTTTCGTGAGCATTTCTTCTCTGATGTTTTATTTCTTCTTAAATAGACATCTCAGGAATTTTCATATAATTCAAGGGCAAAGCATCTTATAAGACATATTCACTTCTCTGGATTACATTTTTTTTCTACTTCACCACTTTATTTCTTTTTCTTTTATCTGGCTGTATTGGTTGTCCTGAAATCCAACATTTGCCTCTAATGTTCAGTGTGATTGTCTCAAACTCCAGAGAAGTACTTTCTTTTTAGCTTCTGTGTCCTGTGATGTGAATTAGCCAATACCCAAATGTTAGCAGTCTTCTTAACCTCAGTGGGTTTCTCTTTTATTTAAGATGTTGGCTGGTCAAGATCTTACTTCCTTTATTGCATTCTGATACATTCCAATAGTTTCAAAATTAATTTTATCCAGCTTTTATAGTTGCTCTCAACAAGGGTATTGATACGACATCAACTGCTATGTCAAAGTCTAAAATGAAAGTTTCTCACTGTTTAATCATTTATAACATTAACCCCTTTGGTTATCTCAATGTTATCTTCATTTTACAGACCAGGAAAACTAAAGAAATAAGAGTATAAACAAATTGCCCAAGGTCACATATCTAGTAAATTGCAGAGCTGTATTTGAGCAGAGAAAATTTGACTCCAGAAGCCATGCTTTTTATCACTGTGCTATACTCCATATAAGATAAAACTCAAATAGTAGTGGTGTATATATATATATAGATAGATAGGTAGATAGATAGATATACATATCTATATATATATCTATACCTATATATATAAAATATATACTAGTATATATGGTGTGTGTATATGTATATTATATATATAATAAAGTGGTGAAGTAGAAAAAAAATGTAATCCACAGAGAAGTGAATAACTCTTATAAGACACTTTGCCATTGAGTTATATGAAAATTCCTAAGATGTCCATGTAAGAAGAAATAAAACATCAGAGAAGAAATGCTCAGGAAAGAAATAGAAAGTAGATGCTAACTGGCTTCATATTGAAGCAGAGTTTTAACAGTGTTATGGTGTTAGAAGAACAAAATTAGAGCGCAGGGCTGTTGATGAGGAGGGGTTCAGAATTTTAATAGGAACATGTAGAGGGCTGTACCCCAAAAGTATAGGCGAACCAAAAATCAACAAAGTTCAAGTACATCATGGTTATGTGCCTGTACTCTAATTGCATATTAGAAAAAATATACCCCTTTAGGAAGGGAGGAGATATGTATATATATAAAATTCCATGTCTGTGTATGCTCAATTGAATTTGGAGATACTGTACCTTTTAAAAAATTAATATGGTGATATATATATATTATATATATTATTTATATATTTATATATATTATTTATATATATATATAAAAATAATATATATATATGGAATGAGACCTTGTCTCCAAAGTAAATAAAACTTTTTGAGAGTGCAGTGGCACGATCACAGCTTGCTGTAGCCTCAACCTCCCAGCTGAAGAGATATTCCCACCTCAGTATCTGAGTAGCTGGGACTACAGGCACACGCCACCATGCCCAGCTAATTTTTGTATTTTTAGTAAAGACAGGGTCTCACTATGTTGCCCAGGCTTGTCAGGAACCCTTGGGCTCAAGCAATCGCCCACCTTGGCTTTCCAAAGTGCTGGGATTACAGGTGTGAGCCACTGCCCCTAGCCTGTATTCTTATTTAACTCTTGATTAAAGGATCTGTGGGTAGATATTACAGGGCCACTACAATAGCTCTATAGCACCTCTTTCAGTCATCATAGTTGTGTTTCAGGAAGTCAAGGCAAGAAAGACTGGGTGGTGTCTAAATAAGAAAAGCACATATTTCTTCCCAGAAATTCTAGCATATAGCTGCTTATATTCCCCTGAGACTCCCTTAGCTGTCATGGGCACTCTTAGATCCAAGGGAATCTGAGAAGAATCTCATTTGTTGACTGTGCTCAAGTATGCAATGAGCAGCTAAACAAACTGAATAAGTTTTCAGTTTAGATTTTAAAAGATGTCATACAGATTTTACTTTTTCTCATAAGATAATTTTCATCATCCAATGCAAAAATGTATAAGCAGAACTCCTGGTACTATTCTTGCAATACTGATGTGTTCATACCAAGTACAGATTGTCTGTGTGCATGGCCACAGATGATTCATTTGTTTCTAAGAAAATCCCAAAAGGCTACAATTTATTTTCTTGTAATAGCCTGTATGAATTTGCTTTGGGCATGGCCCAGTTTATGAAGATTGTTTGAGAAATGAAACAGAAACTATCGTTTTATTGAATTTGGAGATACTGTACTTTTTAAGAAATTAACATGGTATATTACATTAATTAAATTTTGAATGTTAAAATAAATTTGCATTTGTGAAATAATTTCACTTGGTTATGTTGTCTAACATTTTTACATGTTGCTAGATTCTGTTTGCTAGAGTTATTTTAAATTTCTAGATCTATATTCATGAGGGATGATGGTCTGTACAGTATTTTTCTTGTGATGCTTTTGTCTGGTTTTGTAATCTGGGTAATACCTCAAAAAATAAATTGTTAATTTTCCTCCTCTTCTGTATTTTTCAAGTTTTTGTGAAGGATTTTTTTTGCTTTTTTTTCACTTTTATTTCAGGCTCAGGGGTTACATGTGCAGGTTTGTTCCATGGGTAAATTGTGTGTCACTGAGGTTGGATGTATGAATGATTCCATCACCTAGGTAGAGAACGTAGTACCTGAAAGTTTTTTAACCCTCAGCCCCTCCCACCCCTCTCCCTCTGGTAGTCCCCAGTGTCTATTATTCCCATCTCCATGTCTGTGTATACTCAATCTATAAGTGGGAACATTTGGTATTTGGTTTTCTGTTCCTTTGTTAATTTGCTTAGGATAATGGCCTCCAGCTGCATTCATGTTGCTGCAAAGGACATGATTTCATTCTTTTTTATGGCTGCATAGTATTCCATAGTGTATATGCACCACATTTTCTTTATCCAGTCCACTGTTGGTGGGCAACTAGGTGGATTTCATGTCTTTGCTGATGGGAATGATGCTGCTGTGAACATATGGGTACATGTGCCTTTTTGGTAGAAAGATTTATTTTCCATTGGGTATATCCCAGTAGTGAGATTGCTGGGTCTAGATGTAGTTTTTTTTTTTTTTTAAGTTATTTGAAAACCCTCCAAATGGCTTTCCACAGTGGCTGAACTAATTTAAATTCTCACCAACGGTGTATCACCATTTCCTTTTCTCCACAGCCTTGCAAACATTTGTGTCATGTGTTTGTAAAGACAGAACTGTGTTGTCCATAACTGTCATCAGTGTAAATAGCAAGGATTTGAACATTTTACACTTTATTTTAAAAACTAAGACCTTTTTACTAAAGTATACTGGGTGAGAATTCTATCTTGGCCACTAAGTAGTATAGAAACCTAAAAAAAATAAGTCAACCTTTTTTTGTTTGTTTTCCTTTTCATTAATGTTTTTGTACAAATGGGGGTCTCACTATGTTGTCCAGGCTGGTCTTATACTCCTGGCCTCAAGCAATCCTCTTGTTTTAGCCACACAAAGTGATGGGTGGCTTGAGCCACTGCACCTGGCCTAAGTTATCTTCCCATGAGACACAGTTTTCTATTTGTAAAAATGGAGATTAGGTTTTAATTCTCCATATTGTTAACATAGTTGTTTTGTAAATGCTATTTCTCTTTCCTTTATGTGTACTTTTTTAGTACTTCACCACTTTATTTCTTTTTAACTATTATTTTAGGTTCAGAGGTACATGTGCAGGTTTCTCATATAGATAAATTGCATGACACGGCAGTTTGCTGTACAGATTATTTCACCACCCAGGTAATAAGCATAGTATCCAATAGGTAGTTTTTTTATTCTTACCCTCCTCCTGCTTCCACTCTCAATAGACCCCCATGTCTGTTCTTTCCTTCTTTGTGTCCATATGTACTCGGTGTTTACTGCCACTTAAAAGAGAACATACAATATTTGGTTTTCTGTTCCTCTGTTAGTTTTCCTAGGATAACAGCCTCCAGCTCCATCCACATTGCTGCAAAGGACATGGTCAACATTTTATTTTATAGATGCATACTATTCCGTGATGTATATGCACCACCTTTGTTTTTATCCAGTCTATCATTGATGGGCATTTATGTTGATCCCATGTCTTTGCTATTGTGAACAGTGTTGTAATGAACATACATCAGCGTGTGTCTTTATGATAGAATGATTTATATTCCTTTGGGTATATGCCCAATAATGGGATCACTGGGTCAAATGGTAATTCTGCCAAACTGCTTTCCACAATGGCTGAACTAATTTACGTTCCCACCAACATTATATAAGCTTTTCCTTTTCTCCACAACCTCGCCAGCATCTGTTAATTTTTGACATTTTAATAATAGCCATTATGACTGGTGTGAGATGGTATTTCACTGCGGTTTTGATTTGAATTTCCCTAATGATTAGTGAACATTTTTTCATATTCTTTTAGCCATGTCTATGTCATCTTTTGAAAAGTGTCTGTTCATGTTCTTTTCCCATTTTTTAATGAAGTTTTTTGGTTTTTGCTTGTTAAATTCTTTAAGTTCTTTAAAGATTCTGGATTATTTGACCATTGTCAGTACATAGTTTGCAAATATTTTCTCCCATTCTGTAGGTTGTCTGTTTACTCTGTTAATAGTTTCTTTTGCTGTGCAGAAGCTCTTTACTTTAATTAGGCCCTGTTTGTCAATTTTTGTTTTTGTTGCAAGTGTTTTTCTCATCTTCATCAGGAAATCTCTGCCAGATCCTGTGTCCAGATAGTATTTCTTAGGTTATTTTCCAGGGTTGGTATAGTTTTAGATGTTACGTTTAAGTCTTTAATCCACTTTGAGGTGATTTTTGTATATGGTGTAAGGAAGGGGACCAATTTCAATCTTCCATTTATCCCAGTACCGTTAATTGAACAGGGAGTCTTTCTCATTGCTTGCTTTCATCGACTTTGTCAAAAATCAGATGGTTGTAGGTTAGCAGCATTATTTCTGGGCTCTCTATTCTGTTCAATTGGTTTATATGCCTGTTTCTGTAATGGTACCAAGCTGTTTTATAAATAGAAGTGTATTTTTGATATGGCTCTCAACTTGGATGTTGTTGGTGTATAGGAATGCTGCTGATTTTTGTGCATTGATTTTATATCCTGAAATTTTGCTGAAGTTATTTATCAGGTCTCAGAGTTTTGGGACAGAGACTATGGGTATTTTAGGTATAGAATCATATTAGCTGCAAACAGGATTAGTCTAAATTCCACTCATTCTATTCAGATGCCTTTTATTTCTTTCTCTTGCCTAACTGCTTTGGTCAGGAATTCCAGTACTATGTTGAAGAGGAGTGGTGAGAGTGGGCATCCTTGTCTTGTTCTGGTTTTCAAGGGGAATGCTTCCAGCTTTTTCCACTGTGTATGATGTTGGCTGAGTTTGTCATGAGTGAGTCTTATTATTTTGAAGTATGTTCCTTCAGTGGTTAGTTTGTTGATGGTTTTTAATATGACATGACAGTGAATTTTATCAAAAGCCTTTTCTGCATATATTGAGAAGATCATGTGGTTTCTGTTTTAAGTTGTGTTGACGTAATGAATTACGTTTTGATTTGTGTATGCTGAACCAACCTGGCATACCAAATAGAAAGCCTACCTGAATGTGATGGGTTAACTTTTTGATGTGTTGCTAGATTCAGTTTACCAGTATTTTGTTGAGGATTTTTTTCATCTAAGTTCATCAAGGATATTGGTCTGAAGTTTTCTTTTTTTGTTGTGTTTCTGCCAGGTTTTGGTAGCAGGATGATGCTGGGATCATAGAATGAGTTAGTGAGGAGTCCCTCCTCCTCATTTTTTTTTTTTTGGAATCATTTCAGTAGTAGTGCCAGCTCTTCCATACATCTGGTAGAATTCAGTTGTGAAATCATCTGGTCCTGGGCTTTTTCTGATTAGTAGACCTTTTATTACTGATTCAATTTTGGAATTCATTATTGGTGGGTTCAGAAATTTAATTTCTTCCTGGTTCAGTCTGAGGTAACTGTATGTTTCCAGGAATTTATCAATTTCTTCTAGGTTTTCTAGCTTGCATGCATAGAGTGTTCATAGTAGTCTCTGAGAGCTTTTTTTTTGTTTGTTTTTCGGGGTCAGTTGTCACATCTCCTTTGTCTCTTTCTCTCTTTCTCTCTCTCTTTCTCTCTCTCTTTTAGTCTAGCTATTGGTCTATGTATCTTTTAATCTTTTTATTTTTTCAAAAAACCAACCCCTAATTTCATTGATCTTTTGTATGGTTTTTTTGTGTGTGTGTCTCGATTTCCTTCAGTTTCTCTCTAATTTTTGTTATTTCCTGTCCTCTGTTTGTTTTGTTATTGGTTTGCTCTTGTCTCTCTAGCTCTTCTAGCTTTGATGTCAGGATGTTATTTTGAGACCTGTCTCATTTTTATACTTTTGGCATTTAGTGTTATGAACTTCCCTCTTAACACTGATTTAATTGTGTCCCAGAGATTCTGGCATGTTATATCTTTGTTCTCATTAATTTCAAAGAATTTTTTGATTTCTCCCTTAATTTCATTATTTACCCAATTGTCATTCAGGAACAGATTAATTTATATGTAATCGTATAATTTTAAGCTATTTTCTATGTATTGATTTGTATTTTTATTGCACTGTGATCCAAGAGTGCAATACCAGTGATTTTGGTTTTTTGGAATTTGCTGAGGATTGTTTTATGTCTGAATGTGTGGTTGATTTTAGAGTATGTGCCATGTGCAGATGAGAATGTATATTCTGTTGTTTTGGGTGGAGAGTTCTGTAGATATCTATTACATTCATTTGCTCAAGTGTCAAGTTTGGGTCCTGAATATCTTTTGTTAGTTTTCTGCCTCAATACTCTGTCTAATACTGTCGGTGGGGTGTTGAAGTCTCCCAATATTATTGCATGGTTATATGAGGCACTTTGTAAGTGTCTAATAATTTGCTTTATGAGTCTGGGCGCTCCTGTTTCTTCAGCATTTATATTTAGGATAGTTAGGCCTTATTGTTGAATGAAGCCTTTTACCATTATGTAATGCCCTTCTTTGTCTTTTTGACTTTTGTTGTTTTAAAGTCTGTTTTGTCTGAAATTAGAATAGCAGCTCCTACTTTTATTCTGTTTTCTACTTTCTTGGTAGATTTTCCTCCAACCCTTTACATTGAGTCTATGGTTGTCACTGCATGTGAAATGGGTCTCTTGTAGACAGCATAACATTGGGTCTTGCTTCTTTATCCATTTGTCAATATGTGCCTTTTAATTGGGGCATTTAACCCATTTACATTTAAGGTTAGTGTTAATATGTGTGGATATGATCCTGTCATTGTGTTGTTAGCTTGTTATTATGCAAATTTGTTTGTGCGGTGGCTTTATAGTGTCACTGGTCTATGTACTTAAGTGTGTTTTTGTAGTGGCCAGTAATGGTCTTTCTTTTCCATATTTAGGACTCCTTTTAGGACCTTTTGTGAGGCAGGTCAGGTGCTAACAAATTTGCTTAGCATTTGCTTGTCTTAAAAAGATCGTGTTTCTCCCTTGCTTATAAAGCTTAATTTTGCTGGATATAAAATTCTTGGTTGGAAATTCCTTTCTTTAAGAATGCTGAATATAGGCCTTTGATCTCTTCTGGCTTGTAGTGTTTCTCCTGAACGGTTCACTGCTAGCTTGTTGAGGTTCCCTTTGTAGGTAACCTGATCTTTCTCTCTAGTTACCTTTAATATTTTTTTCTTGCAGAATCTAATGACTATGTGTCTTGGAGATGGTCTTCTCACGTAGCATTTCACAGGAGTTCTTGGCATCTCCTGAATTTAAACATTGGCCTTTCTATAGAGGTTGGGGTAATTTTCATAGACAATCTCCTGAGATGTTTTCCAAGTTGCTTGTTTTCACTCCTTCTCTTTCAGGGACACCAATGAGTCATAGATTTGGTGTCTTTACATAATCCCATATTTCTCAGAGGTTTTGCTATTTTAAACATTTGTTAGTTTAAACATTCTACTTTATTTTGTCTGACTGAGTTATTTCAGAGAACCAGTCTTGAGCTATGTGATTCTTTCCTCAGCTTGATCCATTCTGGTATTAATTCTTGCAGTTATATTCTGAAATTTCTGAAGTGAGTTTTTCAACTCTATCAGATGAGTTTAGTTCATTCTAAAAATGATCTTTTCATCTTTCATCTCCTGTATTATATTATTGTATTCCTTAAAATACATTAATTTGGTTTCAACTTTCTCCTGAATCTTGATGATCTTCATTCCTATTCATATTCTGAATTCTATTTCTGCTATTTCAGACTGGTTAAGGATCATGTCTGGGCAACTAGTGCAGTTGTTTAGTGGTAAGAAGACACTCTGGCTTTTTGAGTTGCCAGAGTTCTTGCTTTGTTATTCCTCATCTTTGTGATCTCATGCTCCTTCAGTCTTTGATGTTGCTATCCTCTGAACGAGATTTTTTGGCTTTAATCTTCAATGCCCTTGGAAGTTTCATTGTGGTGTAGGTGGGTTTAGTCAACTGGCTTCATTTGTGGAGGATTTTAGGAGGCCAAGGCACAGGTTGGCACCCCTAAGTTGCATGCTGTACCTCTGGGGGACTGGTATTGGATGTCGAGCTTTGTTCTCTGGTCCCTCAAGGTTAGGAAACTGTGCATTGGAGGGGCTGATGTGTTCCAGGACTGCTGGCCACAACACTGTAACGAGTAGGGCCAGCCAAAGCATTGCATCAGGCAGTGGCACTAGGATCTGTGCTTGTTTGTTTGTGCCAGTAGCAGCAGCATGGTGGGGTGCTTGCTCATAGGCTGGGGTGGGGCACTGGTGGGCACAGGGTTGCTGGCCTCTATGCAGGCATTCACAGCAGTGGCAGCACAGAGGGTGAGAAGGGCTGCTGACCTCTATATGCATGCATTCACATTGGCAATGGTGGTATGGCTAGGAGCGGGGTGTACTCACACTAGCAACAGAAGCATGTTGGCATCCATGCACACACACATGCTGGCAGGTAAGGGGAGGCGAGGTCCACCTACATGCTCATGCTTCAGCAAAGCAATGGGGTAGGTGGGCATGGGCAAGTGTGTGCCAGCAAAGTGTCATGGGGGAGGTTGCCATAGGATTAGGGTGTGGATGGGCTTGTGTGTGTCAGTGGGAACCACTCTGCTAGAGCTCTCAAATGGTCAGGTGCAGTCTGCTAGTATAGGAGCTATGATGCAGGTCCCCAGGAGGCACCCTACTTGGGCACCTGAGGCTGTACCACAAACAGGCACAGTCAGGCTGGGGATCCAGGAGAAGCCAGCTTACAGGGGAGTGCTCAGGTCAAACTGGCCCCATCTCACATTCAAGATTTTCCTTCTCTGTTCAGGTATGACAGTTTCCCTAAGACTAGAGTCTTCTAAGGGAGCACGGGGAGCCTTGGAGGGTGAACATCCCTGACTGTGCTCCACTGCAAATATTCCAACACCAAACTCTGTGGGCTCTACACAGGCTGAAGTACTGCCGCTACCACCTCTCTAAGCAGCTTTCCCTGCCAGCTCAAGTGTCCCTGAGAATCATGAGTTCCCCTGCTGCCAGGATTCTAGATGTCTGAGGCAAGAGCAGGTCACTCCTTGCCTGCTCAACTCACCCCTTTCCCCAGAATTGTTGGGGGTCAGGAACGAGTCTCGGTGCGTGGTCACCTCATGCAGGGTTCCCAGCTTCCTCCCCTTTCAGCCCAGTGTCTGTATCTTCCATCTGTCCACTCTCAATGCCTTCACTCTGAATATCTCCTGGGAGATGCACCAGTCTTCCTGAAGTCCTTGTCCCTTGGTGGCAGATGTTTTTCCTGGCTCTGTCTAGTAGGCCATCTTGCCTTGGCTCTCCCTTCACCACTTTTGAAATGTTTTTTTTTTTTAAATCATTTGTAACTTTGGTCTTCAATCTCTTCTCCACCAGTAATTATTTAATAATCTGATATAGAAAATACTCTTTATAAGTATTACTTTTTATAGCGAAAATAACATAAAAATAATACACAGTTTGTGACCATTTGATAAAACATTAATAGTAGTACAGATAGAATCACAAAAGCTTGACAACCAATAAGCTCAATGACTATTTTGTGCTTTCAGTTCCCACTTGCACCTCATGCCCTGTAGACAGTCAGCTAAGGTTTCCTACTGTCTCATGCTGATTGAGTAACGTACAGTATGATGTTGTCACCATTGGACAACTCAAAACAGTCTTGCTGGAATAGTTTTTTTTTTTGTTTTTTTTTTTTTTTGAGACAGAGTCTGGCTCTGTCACCCGGGCTGGAGTGCAGTGGCATGATCTCAGCTCACTGCTACCTCTGCCTCCAGGGTTAAAGTGATTCTCCTGCCTCAGCCTCCTGAGTGGCTGGGATTACAGGCACATGCCACCACACCTGGCTAATTTTTGTATTTTTAGTAGAGACGGGGTTTCATCATGTTGATCAGGCTGGTCTTGAACTCATGTCCTCGTGATTCACCCACCTCGGCCTCCCAAAGTGCTGGGATTACAGGCGTAAGCCACCGCACCCGGCTGGAATAGTTTTTAATTAGTGGTTACATCTCTGTTTTTCCTACTTCATCACATGAGATTTGAATTACTGATATTTCAAAAGGTTGCATTATTTTCCTCAGGCAGATGTAATTGAATTATCCAAATAAATCTTCAATATCAAAATTTGTTGTTAATTATCTGGTTCTAGATTTTATTTTTGTTTTTGTTATTATTCTTATTATATATTTTTGCAAAGGGACTTTACAAACACGTGCTGATTCCTTATATTGTGGCCAGAACATCTCAACATGTAGAAACAGCCAAAACAATGACAGAAGTTAACGTTATTATTACTATGATGATGATGATTATTACTTATACTCATATATCTCCTTTCTTCTCACACTCATTTCAAGTTCCTTTGACTCCCCTCATACTCATTATTCATGCTGATGTAATCTACAGTTGACTGGGGGTAGGGAGACAACGTCTCCTTTCTCCCTTGCTTCTGCTTGTTGCCTAGGACCCCATTGTATACCTTGCAGAAAGCTGATGAGTGAAGGACACAGAGTAGATTCCCAAATATTAGAGCACCCTAAGAACAATAGTGTAAAACAGGTATCTCCATATTCTAATGAGACATTTTAGACCACAGTGTCCACCTGAGACATCCTATAAGACTATTAGATCTCGAGAACAGGTGCTTGTTTGACTGTGGATAACTGCCATCTCTTGTTCTCAGTTCAGAGCCTCATATAAAAAGAGAAGAGGCAAGGAATCACTAAACTTGCTGTCATTAATGTAAACCAAATACTCATCCAAATAACATATATGGTAAGGGTATAAAAACCTAAATTGTAATCTTACATAGTAAAGAGTTGAGTCAATATTTAATTCTAAAATAATAATAACTCTAAAGGCAGATTATTTAAAAACAGGGAGTTACATTCCATAGCAAACAGCTGGAATTTAAGTTTGAAGTTATTGACTGTTGCAGAGTATATCTCTGGGGCTATGAAGAGTAAGGCAGATAATGATTTTTTCATTAAAAGCCTTATTCAACTACTTGAATTTTTAAGCTATGTTCATGTTTAATTTGCTAAAAATAAAAATTAAGAATGAAGTCAAGTGGCCAGGTGTGGTGGCTCATAGCTGTAATTCCAGCACTTTGGGAGGCTGAGGTGGGTGGGTCACCTGAGGGTCAGCCTCGCCAACATGGTGAGACCCCATCTCTACTGAAAAAAAAAATTAGCCGAGCATGGTGGAGCATGCCTGTAGTCCCAGCTACTTCGGAGACTGAGGCATGAGTAAGCACCTCAGCAGGTAGTGTTTTTGTTTTTTGTTTTTGTCTGGTGGAGTAACTGGAACCTTTATTTCTGAAGGGTCTGGGCCATTTGTAGTCCACCTGGATTGGGCTGTTGTAGTTTCCCTTTGACCTTAATCACAGGACATGGTAATACTAAGAGATGTCCTAAGGGATCTCCTATATTCCACGCATACTCTTCCTTACCTCCACTGTGGATTAGTAGACCTACTTCGTCTTGATAGTCCATGCCAATCACCCCAGCCAACACTGTAACTCCCTTCTTAGCCTGTTCACTTGAAGGTAGGAGAAGCCCAAAGTGTCCAGGTGGCAATCTTAACTTCCAGTTTAATGGAATTGTTGTGTCTTCTCGTTGCAGCATTCCTCCCTCTGGGACTAAGACCTCTAGGCCAGCAGAACGTAATGTTGCAGGAACAGGAAGCAAAAATGTCGCTAGTGGATCATGAGGGGTGATGGTGAGTGGTGCCACTTCCACTTCCACCTCTTGATTCCTGGGCCCTCATGTTGCATTGGCATCACAAGGATTCTAAATTGGCAACATCCAGAGGTAGTAGCCTTGGTACACACATGAGCCTTTTGAAACTGTGCAGTGGTTAGTTTGGCTTCTCCATGTGAGCTTTTGAGCAGGAGTTGGTAAGTGAGAAAGCTGGATGAAAGATAAGTGGGAATTAAGTTGGGGGCTGGGGAGCAGCAAATAGAAGCTGCCTCTGGTTCTGTGGTTTTTTTTTTTAGGCCCAGTGAAAAAGATCTAGATGAAAATTTCAGGATGTTGAATTACTACTGTTAGGTAAGTTAGAGCAATCAAAATCATAAACATCTGGACTCCAATATTGGGACTGCCAAAGTTAGTCATGCATTCACAGTAGGTCCCTTCGATGTAATCCAAAATCCCTACATTCCACTGATGTCTGCCATCAAATGACTCTGATCCACAAGGTATTACCAGAGGCCCCCAAATTTTGGAAATTCCAATGCTAGCTTTTCTTCCCAACTGGTCAATACTGTTCCAGGCCCGTAACCAACGAAAGTATTACTAACTACCAATTAATAACCATACTCTTACTCATCTTTCTAGTTTCCATCAGCCCCTTTAAAAATCATTTCTTACAATAGCAATGGTGTTCATCATACACACACACACACAAACAAAATCTCCTGTTCAAAAAATCTCTGGTTGGCTTTACTATGTTGAACAATAAACAGTAGGCTTCTTACACTGCAATCCCAGGTCATACATGATAGAGGTCTGGTATACTCTCTCCCTTTCCTACCCACTGTCCCCAGTTCCCCTTTCCCACTTGAAGACTTTCTAATTGGATTACAGTTCTCCAGATAAAAGAGTGTGTGTGTGTGTGTGTGTGTGTGTGTGTGTGTGTGCAGCGAGATAGAGAGAAAGAAAGAGTGACTGATTTACTTTAAGGAATTGGCTTATGTGATTGTCAAGGCTGACAAGTCAAAAATCTGCAAGGTAGAATGGCAGGTTGAAGACCCAGGGGAAGAATTGATGTTGAAGCTCTAAGTCTAAAAGAGTCTGTTCGCAGAATCGCTTCTTCCTCAGGGAAACTTCATTTTTTTCTCTTAAGATTTTCAACTGGTTGGATGAGGCCCACCCACAATACTGGGGGTCATCAGCTTTCGGCCAAGTCTACTGATTTAAAGGTTCATCTGAAATAAAAAATTCCTTCACAGCAATATTTAAACTGGTGTCTGACCAAATATTTCGGTACTGTGGCCCAGCTAAGTTGATACGTAAAATTAACCCTCACACCAACTGACACATGTCATTTCCTAACACTAGATGTGCTTTTAACAGCTCCGAATGTTGGTTATCACTTATCTTAGGTTAGGAATGCCTTCTTTCTAGACTTTTGAATCTTATGAGTCTGTCTATTTAAAAAAGGCTCAAACTTGCTGCCTCTTGTTTCATGAAATATTTTCTGGCCTTCCCAGATTGAAGTCATCAAAACTTCTTCATCCTCTTAGAGTGTTACACTTTACCTTAGCAATTCTCAGATCATGGCTTGGATTCCAGTCATTGGTGTGCATGTGTGTTTCCTCCAGTGGGGTTTATCCTGCTGGAGGGGAGCACATTTTGTTTTGTTTATCTTAGGGAACAAGTGCAGAGTCAGATGTTCACTAAATTGTGTAGAGTCAGGAGTCAATAAATACAAGATAAAGTCATAAGCCCAATATGAATTAGATTATCATGAAAAGTTATTTGTTATTGTCTTGCATTTTGAACTGCAGGCAAAGGTCTTGAGGTTGTGCCAAATTCCTTGCCTGAGCTTTGGGGTGGAAGGCTTTCTTTTGACTTGGTAAGCATGAGCTGGTAAATTCTTATCCTTAAGGTTTCACACAGGTGCTAAAAGAGGAAAATGGATATTAGAATATGTCTCTTTCTTCTGCAAGTGAGTAAAGCTGGTGAGTGTGCTCCACTCTGTGAGTGATGTGTGTTCAGATATTTCAGCACAAGAGCAGGCATTACAGAGAGACTCATTGGTCTCACATCTGTCATTCTACATCTGTCTCCGCTGCTGAAGGAGTGTTCAGCATTGGGAGAAAAAAAAAAAACCATCCCCACACACCAAACAACCAGCCTTTCCGTGTTGCTCTTGTTTTGCTCGTTTATCTCTCCCCAAAGAAGTTATGAGCTCATCTCAAGGCAGTCTAAGTAAAATCCCCAGGGATAACCTGCACGATGTTTGTATATGTTATACAACCTGCTTCCTTTTGTCCCCCAGATTTATTGAGGTATATTTACAAATAAAAATTGCATGAGTTTGCAGTATACAATGCAATGTCTTGATCTATGTATACATTGTGAAATTAGTACCACAATCAAGTTAATTAGCATATTAGTCACCTAAAATAGTTATCCTTTGTGTGTGTGTGTGGAAAGAATATTAAAGATCGACTCTCTTAGCAATTTTTGAGTATGCAATATGTTATTATTAACTGTAGTCATCCTGCACAATACAACTCCAGACTTTGTTCATTGTCTAACTGAAACTCTGTAACCTCTGAGCAACATTTCCCCCAATTCCCCAGTCCCCATTTCCTTGAAACCACCATTCTACTCTCTGCTTCTATGAGCTCCACTTTCTTAGATTCCACATAAAGTGAGATCATAGAGTATTTGTCTTTTTTATGCCTGGCTATTTCTCACAGAGTAATTAGATTAGCTTGTTTTTATTGACTTGTATAAATAGCGAAACAAAAGAAAAACAGAGAGAAATGGAAATAGACAAATCATTGTGTGCATGTGTGTGTGTGTGTGTGTGTGTGAGAGAGAGAGAGAGAGAGAGAGATTTTATTTTAATCTGGGAAAACAAGATTTTCCCTGAGCTTAGATTGTGAATCAATAGTATATGAATGATTGCAAAACTTTAACATGGAGTGGGGGTAGGGAGAGAACTCCAGCTAATAATTACATATTCTACTGAATGCTAATGATGAAGAATAGCATACCTGTCTTCCACCCATTTAAAAATAAACCCATGTATTTAAGAAATGAAAATACAATAAGAACACATGCTGGTCTACCATTAACAAGTGTTAACATTATGTTTACCCCTGGAATTCTCTTGCCTCTTATAAAATCTGGATACTGCTGAAATTTCTAGAGGGATTGTTTGGCTTCTAAAGAAACATGGAAGGAGAGGCAGTGTTGATGTGAACATCCAGAAATGGGGCAGTTGTCGTTAGGTATTATTTCCGTTTTTCAGTGCAGACTCTCCCCTTAATTCTCTGGAATGATCTGAGGCTTTAATATAATTTCGCATTAGTACTTGGGATTTAATAGAGACGGGATAAATGTTTGCTCAAATGAGCTGACAGTTACTTTTATCAGACTTAGTACTTGTCTTCATTTCAAAAAGATTTTGAAGGACTGGGGTGAAGGGGTGTAGGAGAGTTCTTTGGGATTTCTAACTCTGTTGTCAACAGCCCATCATGTCAAAAGATGACTGCACAGTTAGAACTGACAAAACTGTGACACTCTGCCAACCTTTACATTTCAGAGAGTCAGCAAAGACATCCCAGACATTCACTGTTAAAGCAATATGCCTTCAGAACCTCAAGACATTTCACCTCTTTGGAACCCACCTCTCCACTTTCCTCTCCTCTTACTGTAAATTAAATTATGCCTAATATTTGCAGCATTAACAACACAAAACTACACAAACAATCTAAATCAGATTAATCAATCTGTTCTCATGACTTAATTGGGCCCCCTTCTGTATAACTGTTATTGGTAAGATGAGTGATTTTAAGGAACTTAACAAAATAAAATTCTTAACAAAATAAATTATATAGACAAATCAACCTTACTGAGGCTGTAGGCAGTGAAGTAGGGTCTCCATTTGTTCTTAACCTGTTTGCCTTTTGAGATAGGATAATGGATTTACTCACACATTTTTCATTTACTTGTCAGCCTTGTGAGAGGCTTATGATACTACTTGGATACAAAAGGATAACAGTTGAGGGTCAAATGGAGAATAGGATGAACTAAGAATAGCCACTTCAGGAAATGTGCTTTAATTCCAGACTCAAACCAGGGCCCTCACAACTGAGCAAGTCAGAATAAAATTTCTTTCTTTGCTTACTCCTCCCCAAGTAGCTCTTTGCTCTTTAAAATTTGCTTCTTTTAGATTTATCTGTAGTCCAAGTATGACCCCACAGACCAATAATTCCATTCTGAATCCACTAATCTTTATCTTTGAGACTCTTATATGTAATTGCTGTTTGCAGAATAAGCCTTCTAGGTGCCTGTTGGATATCTGAAGAGCCAAATTCCTTTGGAGTACATAGTATTTTCTAGCCTTAGTTATTCTGCAAATGAATAAACTCTATGTTGTAGACTTTAAGTGTAAAAAACAGGAAGATTGTAGAGAGGGAGATTTTTGTTTCTGCTATTACTGATGAGATAATAGCAAAGAGAGATGAGAGGCAAGAATGGCCAACACATTGATTTCATCGTGTTCAGACTAATGATCTAAAAGTAACCTGGAATTTCTGATGCTTATTTAAATTTTCCCAATTTTTAGACTACCAGTCTCATTAAGACATCAAAATAACATCCATCAGCATGTAACTTTTTTTTTCTTTTCTTTTCTTTTTTTTCTTTTTTTTAAGATAGAGTCTTGCTCTGTCACCCAGGCTGGAGTGCAGTGGCGTGATCTCGGCTCCCTGCAAGCTCCGCCTTCCAGGTTCATGCCATTCTCCTGCCTCAGCCTCCCAAGTGGCTGAGACTACAGGTGCCCGCCACCACACCCAGCTAATTTTTTTTTTTTTTGTATTTTTAGTAGAGACGGGGTTTCATCATGTTAGCCAGGATGGTCTCGATCTCCTGACCTCGTGATCTACCCACCTCGGCCTCCCGAAGTGCTGGGATTACAGGCGTGAGCCACCGCACCCAGCCCATCAGCATGTATCTTTAGCATGTATGTGCCAAAAGAAGATCTGTTTAACTTGTTTCCTGCTGTATCTCTAGTGCTCAAAATATAATGAGCTCAATATGTACTTGTTAAATAAATAAATGAACATTATTATAGCAGCTGTACTAATTTGGGGTTGAGCTGTCAGCTACTGGGATTAAAACTCATCTGTGTAAGACTAATGAACTGGTGTGTCAGCTCAAAAAAAGATTCTTTAAGATTGAGGAACTGGGTAAGTAGCATTCTAAAGATTTCTCCCTGAGATTTACATCCTCTAGTTATGCAATTAAACATGAATCTAGTCCCCTTGAAAGGATTATGCAGATTATGCAGTAATTCAGGTTACTTTATAAGTAATTCAGGTTACTTTCTTAAAATAGGAAGAGTGGCTTGGATTATCCAGGTGCACCTAATCTAATCACATGCTACCTTAAAAGCAGAGAATGCACTCTAGCTGGTTGAAGATCAAGAAGTCAGCAGAGACAAGCAGAGGAAAGGTAAAGCCAAAGGAGGTATCAGAGATATCAGAACAGGAAAAGGCCTCATTATATTAGCAGCAGTGAATCCGTAATGGTCTGCAGCAACCTCAATTTTTGCCTCTTCAAAAAGAGATGGAAATTCAACCAAGGGCCATAACGCAGAAGGAGAGACCAAGGCAAGTTTTAGAGCAGAAGTGAAAGTTTATTTAAAAGTTTTAGAGCAGAAATGAAAGGAAGTAAGTTACACTTGAAAGAGGGCCGAGAGGGAGACTTGAGAGAGTCAAGTGCCCGGTTTGACCTTTGACTTGATGTCTCATATGTTGGCATGCTTCTGGGGGTCTGCCTCTCTTCTCCCCTGATTCTTCCCTTAGGGTGGGCTGTCTGCATGTGCGGTAGCCTGCCAGCACTTGGGAGGGGCCGCATGCACAGTGTGTTTACTGGAGTTGTGCTTATGCTCACTTGAGGTGTTTTTCCTTTCCTAGAAGAAGGTCATACACCAGTTAAACTCCACCATTTTTCCTCTTAGTGCGCATGCTCAAGCCCACTTGCCCAACTCCTGACATCTTATTGGGAGGTTGCTGATCACCAGTTTCAGGTTTTGTCTGTCTATTGGGAGATTGCCTTTCCCTGATACCAGCTGTGACCAGTTATTATTTTAGAGGGACAGTTTACCAACCACTTGCCCATCACCTAATGGTTGCCTGACATTCCTGTTGGCAGGGGCCTTCTCCTGCCCTGCTCATGTCTACCTGAGTGCTTACTATAACAATTACTGGCTTTGAAGATGGAGAAAGGGAGCCACAAGCTGAGAAATGTGAACTACCTCTAGAAGCTGAGAATGCCTCTAAGCTGACAGCCAGCAAGGAGACTGACCTCAGTCATACAACCCCATAGGGCTGAATTCTGCCAGCAACTTGAATGATTCAAATCCTTGGAAGCAAAGTCATCCCCAGAACTTCCATAAAGAATCACAGTCCTGCCCACCTCTTGCTTTCTGCCCTGTGATCTCCAAGACAGAGATCAAGCTGAGCCAGGCTGTGGCTGGTGTAAAAACCAATGGGAAAGAAGTAAAAAAAAGATGGTAACACAAGTTTGATCCTGGCAGAAGCTCAGTGATCAGGAGGGGTGGAACTGAACTTGGCTTATATGTTGTAATCAAGATTTACAGATACAGTGAGACACATAAAAACACTGCTTTGGAACCTGATAATTACAAGGTAAGAGCAAAAATAGTAAAAATTTTCACTACCCACTATGCAATGGAATATCCTGTCACCCTGGTACCTAGAGTGCACAGGTGCCCAACAGAGTTAGCAACGTTCAGTGGGGCTATTAAGCCACAGCTGACACGGAACAGGAAATGCAGATGCACACTCCCCCATAGCTCCAGACTCTTTGCCACTGAATATTGCTGCTTGAATGCCCAATAGGACAGCCATGATTCTTCTCTTCTCCCAAATCTACTTTTCAAGTCTATACCATCTTAATAGATGGCACCACTACCATCTTTCTAAGACCAGAAATTTTGAAATCATGCTTAATTCCATTCTTACCCTCATATCGCACATGATGCAGGATGCATCCCATTCCTTAATGACTTTTCTTTTATTCTAATTATATTGCAAACCTATTACTCTGCTCAGCACCTCTACTACCGCAACCCTAGTCCTAGCAAACTAAGCTATTGTTTGGAATCTCAAACCTGCTTCTTAACTTGTTTCTCTACCTCCACACTTTGCCCAATATGCTTCCACAATGATCGTCACCATTTTTAAATAGTTCATCTGCCACACAGAAGCCGAACGTCTTTCTAAATGATAAATTAGATTATGTTCTTTCACTGCTTGAAATACTTCCATGCAACCAGAATAAAATATAAACTCCATTCTCTAGCCTACAAAGTCTTAACAATCTTGCCCCAGTCTTCCTCTTCACCCCCATCTTTCTCTATTCTCTCCAAATTTTATTGTACCCCAGTCATTCCTGCCTATTTATGTCTGTTGAACAACTCAGTCGTGATCCTCTTTCGAGGCCTTGGTACTCACTCCTTTCTCTGCTTGGAATTTTCACATTGTCTTCTCACATCTCAAGTCAAACATCACTTTCTTAGACAGTGTACACTTCATGTTCTACCTAAAGTACTCCCTGAATGCATTAACTTATTTTATTTTCCTTAAAGAACATTCTGTTTTGAATTTTATTATAAAATGTTTATTTCTTTATTTATTCATTTCTTATCCACTTGTTGATGGTCTGTGTCCTTTTAAAGATAAGATACAAATTTAAGATAAAAGGCTTAGTTTGATTTCTTGAAAATGAGGAAAGATACTTCTCCTCTCTTTTCTTGAAGCATTTACTTTAAAACACTTGCAATTGGAAGCTCTTTCTCTGCCTCCTAAAATGTATATAAATCTCTTTAAAAGCTTAATAAGGACCTTGCCAATTATACCACGAGAATGTTTCCTAAGGCTCTGAGAGCCATCTCTTTGAAATATAATCATCAAGGAAGATGGTGTGTCTGTCTCCCAGTTTTCTGGGAAGATAGGATTCTAACTTCAGCTGGGGTTTGGCTCCAAGTTGCAAACCTACCACAGGTTGTAGAAACATGAGAAAATAATTATTTTATTTTAAAGACAATTGACAACCACAGGTGGCTACCCCAATTGCCAAGTAAATTTAGGTTAGACTATATACAACAAATGTTGCTGTCAAGTCCTCTTACTTGAGAAATAGTTATTGTTTACCTTGATATCACGCATGTAAGTGATCGTATCTGCTTAACTCCCTAAAAGAATGAGATTTATTTCTGTCTTCGCAGTCTCTTAACAGATTGGCTGTGATGTGCATCACATTTTGATTTAATGCTTCTCCAATAATAAAGGTTTTGTTTCTCTTTTACTTTTGTAGAGAGATTTTCTGGGGGGAGGTAATGGGTTTTTTTATAATTATATTTCCCCATCGTTGTTTCACTAAAATGTAAGCTCCACTAGGGTGAGGGCATTTGCTATAATCTCCAACCTGTACACCAGTCCTGGACACTCGGTAGATACTCCATAAAAATAGTTGCAAACTAACAGATCAGCAAAAGTGGCAATACTTCAAGCAGAGGTAAGGCTGCTGAATGACTGGGAAGCTCCTGAAGGCCACAGTGGTACTCTACAGAGATAATCAAGCTGGAAAACATGGATGAAGGCCAGAGGAACAAGGAATGGGGAGCACAGAGCTTACTGGTTTCATTTCAGAGCACACATGAGAGACTTCCAGGATATTCCAGACGTTGTTTTGGAACATCTCTGCAGGTACTTTAGCAGATGATTACAAGATACTGCAGAAGTTAAGTTAGAAACAAAGTTGACATTTTTTTCTGACAAAATCTGACAAGAAAATATCTTGGATCAAACTGTTTCTGCCCAAGTGAAAGAAAGTTTAATTTGTTTCCCATTTAGTGACTAAATGTTATAGAAAATATAAAAGTAAACAAAACACCACTTTGGAGGCCGAGATTTGGGAGGCGGATCACCTGAGGTCAGGAGTTCGAGACCAGCCTGACCAATATGATGAAACCATCTCTACTAAAAATACAAAAATTAGCTGGGTGCGGTGGTGTGCACCTGTAGTCCCAGCTACTCAGGAGGCTGAGTCAGGAGAATTGCTTGATCCTGGGTCATGGTGGTTGCAGTGAGCTGAGATTGCACCATTACACTCCAGTCTGGACGAAAGAGCGAGGCTCTGTCAAAAAAAAAAAAAAAAAAAAAAAGTAAACAAAGCAGAAGCAGTAAAAAATATTGTAAAGTGCTCCTTGGTCTTCATAACTGAAGAAAAGAAATAGAGGGCCATTGAAACGTCAAGATTATTGTGTTTGACATGTGCTTTGGAAGTTTAAATACGGAATTAACTAAACTATAAAAATTACTGATTCTCTCTTTGTTTTGAAGCTGCGTCTTTGTCTGGGGTAAATACTCGAGGTTTGTCATCTCGCGTCAAGAAAATGAAGTACATGGACACACAAGAAGTGAGTTTAGGAGCAGAGGTTTAATAGGCAAAAGAGGCGGGGTGCAATGGCTCATGCCTGTAATCCCAACACTTTGGGAGGCCGAGGTGGGTGGATCATGAGGTCAAGAGATCGAGACCATCCTGGCCAACATGGTAGGACCCCCGTCTCTACCAAAAAAAAACCAAAAAACAAAAAACAAAAAACAAAAACAAAAATTAGCTGGGCGTGGTGGCGTGTGCCTGTAGTTCCAGCTAGTCAGGAGGCTGAGGCAGGAGACTCGCTTGAACCTGGGAGGCAGAGGTTGCAGTGAGTGGAGATTGCACTGCTGCTCTCTAACCTGGTGACAGAGTGAGACTCAGTCTAAAAAAAAAAAAAAAAAAAAAAAAGCAAAAGAAAGAGAAAGAAGAATAGCTCTCTATCCTGTGAGAGAGGGGGGTGCCTGAGTTGGACTCCTGGCCCACAGTAAAGTGCACTGGATTTTATAGGCTGCTTTGAGGAGGCAGTGTCTGATTTACACAGGGCCCAAGGATTGGTTGGATTAGGTGTGATGTTTGCATAATGCATGAGGAAGCTGGCTGCCCCATCCTAATCTTCTATTATGCAAATATAGTCTTTACTTGGCCAGTGCAATGTTGTCTTCTCCTTACTGTACATGTGGTTTGGTAAAGAGAAGGGAAGATGGAGCCACCATGTTGAACATGCCTAGCTTCCAGGTAGCCCCTTTCCTACTTGGCACAGCTGTTGGCATTCACCCGTGCAAGCTTCCTGTTCACTTATCTATGTCTGCAGCTTGATTTTATAGGCTGCTCTTCGTTAGAAAAGAAAATGATTTGTGTGCTGCTCTTTGTTAAAAGGAAAACCTTACTGAGGACTTCCTGACCCTCACTATCTGCCTAAATAATTTCTTTTTAACTCTCATATCAGTTACATACAATTACAAGCACTTGCATTTGTTTATAATATTAGCTTATTTATGCATAGAAAAAATCTTTACGTCTCCTACATTAAAAATAGATAAGATGGACAATGAATAAGCAACCTTCAGCTGTAGACTTAGTACTGAGACATCCGGACTACGTTAAAGTGAACAATAAAACCGAGCTTCGAAATACTTCTGGCATATGACTTCTGCAGTTTAAAGAACATTCTTACAGGCTCTAGAATCCTGCTAGAGTCTAGGACACTATGCTGAAGATGTGGTTGGAGTGCAGGGAGGTGAATAAAAGTGGGAAGGTAAAGTATTCTAAATTCTCACAGAAGATAAATGGCTCATCAAGATGAAAGCCAAGAGTGGCCCACAATCAATTTTAGACACATGTCGAACTCCATGAAGTTCAGTGTTTGCTTTTATAGTAGAAAATAACAATTATTTCTCTTTCCCTGAACTATCCTTTTATGATTTTTCCACTAGTACTTAAAATTTTCCTTCAGGCACTTTTCTAGAATTTTTTGGAAGCTTTTAGCAGTGTAAGGTGCCCTTGGGTATGAATTAAGCCAATGCTGAATGCCCCTACACAGGTACTTATTCAGTAGAGTCTTATCAGCAGAGAACAAGGAATGCTACGACTTATTGAAAATAGGCTTTCTCTCCTCTAGGTTTCATGGAAGAGGAGATTTTGAAGAGATGAGTCATGTAGCTTCTGGAAGGGAATTTAAAAGGATAATACCAAGAAGGTCCTGGAGATACGGGATTGAAAATATTTTAATTATTTCTGTCAACAACAAAAAATGTTAATAGTAAAGCAAGCACTGAATTGTTGAGAGGTCAAGGAAGGTCTGTGTATTGTTTGCTAAGGATAATTAGTTGGATCATTGTAAGATTTTAAAATAATGTTTAAGACAATGGGTTTAAATGAGTCATGAAAATCTGGTTGTAATTTAACTTTACCACTTGCAAAATGTATGACTTTGGGAAAGTTACTTATAGTTCCCAAGCCTTAGTTTGTCATTGAAAAACTGAAGATAATAATACCCACATCCCATCCAATTGTTGAGTACTCAATATGATTTTATATGTAGAGGATAAAACAAAGTAGCTAGTAGATAATAAGCATTCAGAAATAATTGCTGTTAGTAATGATCATAATAATAGCTATGAATGTCCCAAGCCACATACTCAGGGGTGCAAAAAAAAAAAAAAAAGAAAACTTCTTACAGTTTTTAACTTCTTTTATAAATTGCTATCATACATGATGACAGACTGATCTTCTCATTTCCAAATAAACCCAGACACTTCTGAATTTCTTATTTATTTCCAGTTTAAAGTCAAAGCATGATTTCTATTCTTTTTTTCTCCCTGTAGTGGTATTTGAGGTTTTGGGTGTCAGAAAGTAGAGAAAAGGCATTTCCCATGCTCTCGTCCAATTATACTCATATTACCTCAAACTTTAGGTATTTTTATAATAATGGGTTGAAAGTTACCTTTCCCTATACTTTCCAAATTACCCATTCTTTTAAGGCATTTTGGTGCTTTCTAGTGAGAAGTGTGAACTCATTCTTCTGTGGGTGACAGCACTTTTTCCTCTTTGGAAACTTTTTAAAATTTTCATTCATGAAGCTGTGAAAATTCATCATATTTTGGTGTGCGTCATGATCTTTGTTGTTCATCCTTTTCAGCATTCCTTTCAATTTGACCATTTGAGATTACTTTCAGCTGTTGAAAATTCTCTTGTATTATTTCTTTAATAACTTCTTCCCATCCATTTTTCTCTATGCGTTAGCAAACCTGTACATAAAACTTAGTTAAAAAGTTTGATTATTTTCTTAGGATAATCCCTGGAAGTGAAAATAGTTGGGTAAAGGTAATGCCTATTTCATGACATTTTATAGGTAATATTTAATTATTCTCTTGAATGGCTGGACCAATTTACATTTCCTACTTAAGAATGAGAATGAAAAGACTTAGGTATTAAATAAGTCTTTAAACATAAATGGTATTTGAAGGGTGTATTTCAAGAAATATACATAACCTTAATATCAAATGACTCATTTGCCCTTTTCTTAGTTCAATAACACATTAAAGTAATTGTATACCTTTTTTTTAAATATTACACTGTTAATTTTATGTCAAATTTTATACATATAAGATGAAGGTCATGTTAAATATGTTTAAGTTCAGTTCTCAAGTAAGTTTTGGCTTAGATTATGAATAAATTAGATAAAATGGAGTGATCTTAGCAAGATCTGGCTGCAGCTGTGTTTACTATTACTAAATATTTCTCCCAAGGTCAAATAAGTAAAATTAATACTTAATTCCTAGCTTACCAAAATATGATGAGTTGTAAATAAGCTAAAGGCAATAAAATGGTCTGGTTTTAGTTATAATAGCTTTGGGAGAGAAGGGCCACTTGAATCTTGCTTTCCATTCTCTGACAGGGTTACTTCCTTCTGTGCCTTGTGTGCACTTTACCAAATAAGTAGGATTTTTTTTAAAGTGGCCATTGTTAAGAGTGTTTGCTTAATCAGACAGTCTTTATGTTTTTTTTTAGATAGCCAAGGATCATTTGGTAAATATATTTCAAAAAGAACATTTTTAGAAGTATAGTGAGGCCTCATTGCTGATCTATCTATCCTCAAAATGTCATTGACAAATAAAAAGATATGAAAGGATTTTTAGGGACAAAAATTCTTGTAATTTAAAAATATTTATGCAATATATATTTTTGAACTCTCAGATACATACTTGAATTTTGGCCACCTGCTGACTTTTATAGTCTGTATCAACAGGTTCTCTTTTAACTTTTTAGTATGTTCAGCTAATCAGAGGTATTGGTGGGAGTTTGTATGATATGAGAAGAGAAAGGCTGAGGTATCCATTTCCAGTGCTCTCTTCCTGTGGGTTGGCTGTGTTTCTCTAAAGAAGGACATACCTCCTGTTGGGTGGTAATCTCAACATCTCCTACAACTGCAACTGGTACCTACTCTCCCCTCTTGCCCATTCAGGTGTGGTATTACCACCTTTTGGATTCACCATCCCTTGTTGGTTCTCTTGGCTCTATATCCATTTCAGTAAATACTGTGGTTTCTTAATTAAGTTCGTATCATTGAACCCATTTAAATGTGACATTTTTCTCTTGCTGGGATCCTGACCATTATACTCTAATGTGATGTCTAGTAGGCATGTTTTTCTTTTTTGTCTCATTCTATAGGGATAGCAACAAAACCTGAAAATGAAAATCAGTACTCACTAAAAAGAAGTTTTTGTTGTAAAAATGATCCATCTTGAAACCTATTGTGACAGTTGTGTCCTATTAAAAAAAAAAAAGAAAATATATTATTAGGTAGATTCACCTTGAAGGAGTTTCTTTTGCATAGGCTCCAAAACCAGATACATTGATGAGTTTGAGGCTTCCTGGTAGAACTCCCCAGTACATGTATTACTATGTATACAAAATCCATCAGTATATCTTCCAGGTTTGCTGAATCCAGTTACATAAAAAGGAAAATAGCTTTTGGAACTAAGAGGTAGTGGTAGATTTTGATTGGTTCCGTTTTAATCAAGAATTAATGGGCTATCTTGGAACAGAAGATAGCATTAGCAGAAGATTTTATATCTAGGAAAAAGGGAAACTACCATTGTTTATTTTTGAGTATTATTATATTTGGTTTAGTTGTTGAGCTTTAATTCAAGTTCCATCTGCTTTAATAACACATGTGTTCTTCATGGATTTTAATAACTTGTAATTATCTTTATCTTGCATTCTTCATATTCACTAGATCATTTTTAGCATCATAAATTTGTCAGACCTACAGATGATTAAAATCTCTTAACAAAAGGCAAGATAAAGTGAAATGATTCAAGTTAAAGCTTACTTTTTCATAAAAGAGTGTTTCAGTAGAGTTATGTCTCAAAGGGATTCATGACTTATTTTATTGAAAGGGCCACAAAATAATCACAAAATATTACATCCATTAGGAAACCAACATGATTCTAATAAGCAGAGCAACAATATAATGCATTAAACAACACCAGTCTTTTCTCTGATACACTTATCGCATCTTCAGTGAATGGTATTTGGTCATATATTTCTATTTTTATCTCTGCTTTGTTTTGAGGAATCATTTTCTGTAGAGTAAGACCCTGGCACTAATGTTGCCTTTCCCCATACTTATAAAAAGTATCCTAGGTATATTTAGAAGCAATTCTTAGGGAGCAAGTTAATTACATTTTTTTTGAGACAGATTTTCACTCTTGTCATCCAGGCTGGAGTGCGATGCCACGATCTCGGCTCACCACAACCTCTGCCTCCCGGGTTCAAGCGATTCTCCTGCCTCAGCCTCCCGAGTAGCTGAGATTATAGACATGTGCCAACCATGCCCAGTTAATTTTTTTTTTTTTTTAGATGGAGTCTCGCCTTGCAGCCCAGGCTAGAGTGCAGTGGTGCAATCTCTGCTCACTGCAAGCTCTGCCTCCCGGGTTCACACCATTCTCCTGCCTCAGCCTCCCGAGTAGCTGGGACTACAGGCACCTGCCACCACATCCAGCTAATTTTTTGTATTTTTAGTAGAGATAGGGTTTCACCCTGTTAGCCAAGATGGTCTTGATCTCCTGACCTCGTGATCCACCTGCCTCAGCCTCCCAAAGTGCTGGGATTATAGGCATAAGCCACCATGCCAGGCCAATTACATTTTTAAAAATACAAAAGTCAATTTAAAAACTACATTCAGGAATACCATATATATTATTTTAAAAAATGTTAAAATGGTTTTGACTTGTCTGGATGCATCTTCAATAAAATTTCAGAGCACTTGATCTCTTGTGATTCCAGTTAAATTTGAAACTATAACTTTCTACATGAGAAGGAAACATTATGAGAAGAAATTGCTACCGCTATTAGTGGTTCCAGCTCTTCAATGCATAATGAGCACAAAAGGGATGTAATGCATAAGGCAAAGTAAAATAATTTCCATCAGCTTGAGATAGGAGAGAAAATCTGTTTGTATAAAGACTATCTTAACAAGAGGATGATCTATCACTTGACTAGGGCACTAAACCATAAAGAATGCTAATAGAAAGCAGAGGAATAACTGGGCAATGAGGTGTGGTCCATTCATGCTTCCATATATGCCTCCTTTCCATCAGCAGCACCATCTCCTTTCCATCACCAGCACCATCTCCTTTCCATCATCATCAGCACCATCTCCTTTCCATCACCAGCATCATCTCCTTTCCATCATCACCAGCATCAACTCCTTTCCATCATCACCAGCATCATCTGCTTTCCATCATCACCAGTGTCATCTCCTTTCCATCATCACCAGTGTCATCTCCTTTCCATCATCACCAGCACCATCTCCTTTCCATCATCTCCAGCACCATCTCCTTTCCATCAGCAGCACCATCTTCTTTTGATCAGCAGCACCATCTCCTTTCCATCACCAGCATCATTTCCTTTCCATTTCCAGCATCATTTACTTCAAGTCCTTTAGCAGTGTATGTGACAAATTGCCTTATTTTTAATGTGCATATGTGACAAAAATAATTTTCATTACCTATAACCAATCCCATCCTGTTTTTTGACTGAACAATCTTTTATTTATAAGACCAACACATTTTTTCCTCAGTTTATCACTTTTGCTTTATCAGTTGTGGTAAATGGTGGCTAGGTGAGTAGACTTGGTAACAAGAGACAAGGAAGGAGCACAGTTGATCTCTATAAGTAGGACAGGGAAATTGAGAGGCAAGATCTAAGGAAAATGCTTTCACTGGAGGATAATTAGATAAAGAGGAGAGCCGACTGTGAGGGTGAGAAGAGAGATTGAGGACAATAAATGGATCTCATTTTCAGTGAAATGCTGTACTGTGTGCAGGGGTAATTCCCGTGTTCAATCTTTCCCATAAAACTCTCTCGGCAAGTTTTAAATACCTCATTGATGATGTTTTTATTTTGTTTGGCTGTTTTTGCTTTTCTAAAAAAGCCAGAAGTTTATGGAAATTATAATTATCAGGCTGTTTTATAAAAAATTAAATAATAAACTCTTATCTGAAGTTAAAAAGATTCTGAACATTGTGCATATTTCATCTGCTAATGTTATTCACACTTTAGAGTAGCTCACTGACAAACATAGGCCTTTACATGTATTCTTACTCTTTCTTATTTATATATTATTAATGATATGCAAGAAAGGCAAAAATACACACTTCAGACAAAGGATTAAAACAACCATATTCCAGGCACTGGGCCTATTTCTACTTATTGCTGATGGGTCTGGGAGGAGAAACACAATCAAGCTTACATATATATATGTGTGTGTGTATATATATATTTTTTGCGATATATATATATATACATATATATATATGTGTATATATATATATATATATATATATATATATATATGTATATATATATATATATATATATTTATATATATGCCAGGGTCTGGCTCTGTCACCCAGGATAGAGTGTAGTGGCATGATCACAGCTCACTGCAGCCTTGACCTCCCTGGCTTAGGCGAACCTCCTGCCTCAGCCTCCTGAGTAGGTGTGACCACAGGAGCACACCACTGTACCTAGCTAATTTAAAATATACATATATATATACACACACATACATATATATATATATTTGTGTATATATGTGTATATGTATGCAAATATATTTAGAAATGGGAGTCTTTCCATGTTGTCCATGCTGATCTTGAATTCCTGGGCTCAAGCAATCCTCCCACCTCAGCCTCCCAAAATACTGGGATTACAGGTGTGAGCCATCGCCCCCAGCCTCAAGCTTATATTTGAGATTTTCATTCCTTTGGAAGAGAATTCGACAACCTGACAAGAAAGAATGAAAATGTATTCATTTATTTTATCATCATCCTCACTTAGAGTTACAAGATCTGAAACACCAAGCAAATTGAGGATTTATTTTTTGTTATATAAAAGTTGCTTTTGGAGGTGTGTAGCATTAACACTGTAACCCTAATCACCACTCCACCCCCATCAGTACATTTCAATCAGTAAATAGGGCAAAATGGAACAGAGCTTAGAACAGTGGTTCCCAAAGTGTGGTCCACCATTGGGGCTCCCTGAAACGCTTCCAGGATCTATGAAGTCAAAACCATTTTAATAATAATATCACTTTGTTGAAATTTAAATCTTAGTCAAGGCGGTGTTTAGTGGCAACTGTACTAGTTGCGATTAGTTTCTTCAACACGAAACTTCAGGCACTTTTTTATTTTTTATTTTATTTTATTTTATTTTATTATTATTATACATTAAGTTTTAGGGTACATGTGCATACTGTGCAGGTTAATTACATATGTATACATGTGCCATGCTGGTATGCTGCACCCATTAACTCATCATTTAGCATTAGGTATATCCTCTAATGCTATCCCTCCCCCCTCCCCCCACCCCACAACAGTCCCCAGAGTGTGATGTTCCCCTTCCTGTGTCCATGTGTTCTCATTGTTCAATTCCCACCTATGAGTGAGAACATGCGGTGTTTGGTTTTTTATCCTTGCAATAGTTTACTGAGAATGATGATTTCCAATTTCATCCATGTCCCTACAAAGGACATGAACTCTTCATCTTTTATGGCTGCATAGTATTGCATGGTGTATATGTGCCACATTTTCTTAATCCAGTCTATCAATCATTGTTGGACATTTGGGTTGGTTCCAAGTCTTTGCTATTGTGAATAGTGCTACAATAAACATACGTGTGCATGTGTCTTTATAGCAGCATGATTTATAATCCTTTGGGTATATACCCAGTAATGGGATGACTGGGTCAAATGGTATTTCTAGTTCTAGAACCCTGAGGAATCACCACACTGCCTTCCACAATGGTTGAACTAGTTTACGGTCCCACCAACAGTGTAAAAGTGTTCCTATTTCTCCACATCCCCTCTAGCACCTGTTGTTTCCTGACTTTTTAATAATTGCCATTCTAACTGGTGTGAGATGGTATCTCATTGTAGTTTTGATTTGCATTTCTCTGATGGCCAGTGATGGTAAGCAATTTTTCATGTGTTTTTTGGCTGCATAAATGTCTTCTTTTGAGAAGTGTCTGTTCATGTCTTTTGCCCACTTTTTGATGGGGTTGTTTGTTTTTTTCTTGTAAATTTGTTTGAGTTCATTGTAGATTCTGGATATTAGCCCTTTGTCAGATGAGTAGGTTGCGAAAATTTTCTCCCATTTTGTGGGTTGCCTGTTCACTCTGATGGTAGTTTCTTTTGCTGTGCAGAAGCTCTTTAGTTTCATTAGATCCCATTTCTCAATTTTGGCTTTTGTTGCCATTACTTTTGGTGTTTTAGACATGAAGTCCTTGCCCATGCCTATGTCCTGAATGGTAATGCCTAGGTTTTCTTCTAGGGTTTTTATGGTTTTAGGTCTAACATTTAAGTCTTTAATCCATCTTGAATTAATTTTTGTATAAGGTGTGAGGAAGGGATCCAGTTTCAGCTTTCTCCATATAGCTGGCCAGTTTTCCCGGCACTATTTATTAAATAGGGAATCCTTTCCCCATTGCTTGTTTTTGTCAGGTTTGTCAAAGATCAGATAGTTGTAGATGTGCGGCGTTATTTCTGAGGGCTCTGTTCTGTTCCATTGATCAATATCTCTGTTTTGGTACCAGTACCCTGCTGTTTTGGTTACTGTAGCCTTGTAGTATAGTTTGAAGTCAGGTAGTGTGATGCCCCCAGCTTTGTTCTTTTGGCTTAGGATTGACTTGGCAATGCGGGCTCTTTTTTGGTTCCATATGAACTTTAAAGTAGTTGTTTTTTCCAATTCTGTGAAGAAAGTCAGTGGTAGCTTGATGGGGATGGCATTGAATCTATAAAAATTACCTTGGGCAGTATGGCCATTTTCACGATATTGATTCTTCCTACCCATGAGCATGGAATGTTCTTCCATTTCTTTGTATCCTCTTTTATTTCCTTAAGCAGTGGTTTGTAGTTCTCCTTGAAGAGGTCCTTCACATCCCTTGTAAGTTGGATTCCTAGGTATTTTATTCTCTTTGAAGCAATTATGAATGGGAGTTCACTCATAATTTGGCTCTCTGCTTGTCTGTTATTGGTGTATAAGAATGCTTGTGATTTTTGTACATTGATTTTGTAACCTGAGACTTTGCTGAAGTTGCTTATCAGCTTAAGGAGATTTTGGGCTGAGACAATGGGGTTTTCTAGATATACAATCATGTCATCTGCAAACAGGGACAATTTGACTTCCTCTTTTCCTAATTGAATACCCTTTATTTCTTTCTCCTGCCTAATTGCCCTGGCCAGAACTTCCAACACTATGTTGAATAGGAGTGGTGAGAGAGGGCTTTTTTAAAAATGCCAATTTTATTTAAGAAGAATTACCTTACTGAAACATTAAAATACAGTGTTAAGTTTCAAGCCTTAAACATACATACATATTTTTAATATGCCAAGGATGAAATGAGAAGTTTGCCTAAAGCATTTTTATTACAATCCAAGTATGATGGTCATTCCATGGAAGAATATCTGTACTTGTTTGAGTTGCAGGCTGAGCTAACTCTTCTTCCATGGAACATGATTTTCACCTGAAAAAAATAACACAGAGACAAACTAGGTTTACTCAGGCTTGGATATCCAGCAGAAATTTTCTAGAAAACAAACCAAAGGTAGGTAGCTGTCAAGGGTAAAAATGATAGTATTTATTGCCAATGGAAAATTTGAACTTTCCAGTAAAACTTAGAACCTTGTAAAATGTTTATTGGCAACTATGAAACTGATGGCTTCTCATACATGAACAGTTTTCTGAAGAGACTGATGGAGATGTTAACAATAGTGATTTTTTCTTGATGTTCTATGATGAAATATGCCAACTTTTAGGAGATCTGAATATCTCACTGAATATTTCCAAATGACTGATGCATCATTATTTTAGGGACGCACAGATCTCAAAGGCAGACCGTAGCTTCTTATAATAGCAATCCGGAACGACAAAAACAAAACAAAACAAAAACAAACAAACAAACAAAAAAACACATCGGTTGGAGTTTGGAGTAATCCAAAGACAGGCTTCAGAAGTTCTCATTCTTCTAGGAGAGTTCACAGAGAAATCACTTCTTTCTCTGGCACTGAAATACAGCAAAATATGTGCAGTGTTTCTGCCCTGTGAAGCCTAGTTGAGACTCAGAGTTCAGAGTTTTCACTGGAAGCTGGACACGTAGGCACAATGACCAGCTACTGCTACTAAAATTCCAGACTCCCTAAAGGAAAGCAGTTGTTCAGTGCCCCAGGTGGGCAAAACAGTTTTATTAATGTAGGGAACATTTCAAAAGCCAAGTTCCCAGATGCGAACCAAGGCCCAACCCTGAAAGTAAGCCTTTTTAATCGGAGCAAATCAGGTCTGCTGTATTAACTCCTTACCGCATAATAGTGCTACACAGGCAGCGCGCGGTGGCTCACGCCTGTAATCCCAGCACTTTGGGAGGCGAGGCGGGTGGATCACGAGGTCAGGAAATCGAGACCATCCTGGCCAAAACGGTGAAACCCCGTCTCTACTAAAAATACAAAAAAAATTAGCCAGGCGTGGTGGTGAGCGCCTGTAGTCCCAGCTACGTGGGAGGCTGAGGCAGGAGAATGGTGTGAACCCGGGAGGCAGAGCTTGCAATTAGCCAAGATCGCGCCATTACATTCCAGCCTGGGCAACAAGGCAAGATTCCGTCTCAAAAAAAAAAAAAAAAAAAGAGTGCTACACAGTAATAGGTGAAAAATACATTCTGAGCACAAGATAAGAATAGATTTTTAATGTAACACACAATGTACAATTTATGATAGAGATTCGGACTCCATTTTGAAGTTAACCTTTAAGAAACCATGCTTGTTGAGTTTTTTGACTTACTTTCAAAGAAGAATATCTACAATTATTTGCAAAAACTATTAAAAGACTTCATCTTTTTCCAATTAGACATCTTTGTGAGGGCAGATTTCCTTCATACACTTCAGTGAAAACAACATAGCATAGCGAATTGAATTCAGAAGCAGATGTGAGAATCTAACTCTCTTCCATTAAGACAGACATTAAAGACATTTGCAAAGGAGAAAACCAGGCTTCTCATTAAATCTTGTTTTGGAAAACATAATTATTTTATCTATAAAAGTATATTACTCATGTTAGCATATAATTGATTTATCTTTCCTATTTAAGAATGAATTGATACATACATATTTTTTAAAATTTCTGCTTTAATTTCCAATATCATAATACAATACCGATATCAAAGAAATAAACTACATAAATAAAAACTATTTGGGGTCTTCAGTAAATTTTAGAGTGTAAACATGTCTTCAGGCCAACAGATTCGAGAAATGCTGGCTTAGACTACTAAGGTATAAATTCAGGGAATTTATAATCAATCAATCAGTATTGTTAATTCATCTTTAATAAAATGTCAGTTCAGTAAGAATTTTGAGAGATGTGGAAGCTGGAATTGGGCTTGAGTCTATGACAGTCAACGAATACTCAGAATGTAAGTCTAAAAGAGAAATTTGCCAAAATTCAAATGAACAGTGAAGGGTGGTAGATACAATATTCTGGAATATACAATTTAAATGGAAGTGACCTTCCGTTTAAGGATAAATATACAGGGGAAAATATAGAGTTTTCAAATATTTCCGCTTGCTATACTCAATAAGACAGATGACCACTTCAGAGAGAAATCTGACAAAATTTAACAAAAGTGTAGATACATATGCCATGAAATCCAGCAATTCTACTTCTCGGAATGTATTCATGATAAAATTTATACACAAGTGCAAAAGATATTTGTGTGAAGATGATATTCATTGAAGTACAATTTGTAACAGCAAAATAAATTCTGTCCCTCAGCAAGGTCAGAAATAAATAGAGTTTGTTAATATAATGGAATTTTATTTGCAATTTAAAATAAATGAACCAGTCTTATGTGTATTAAGTTAATAAGCCTGAAGTCTTGTCATAAGTATAAAAGAAGTTTGCGAGACTTCTTGCTATAAAACTATAGCAAGATATCATTTATGCAGTTGTTCAAAATATATGATATAAAGCATAAGCAAAGTTTTAAAATACTTGCAAAAATAGGACTCAATGTGAACATTATGATTTATGAAATATTTTTCTTTTATTTTTTCTGTTTATTCCTTTTTTCTATGATTAACATAAATTACTCTTCTTACTCTTATTTTTATTTCTACTGTTATACTTTCTCCTGTCATTACTAATTTCACGTGTATATAAAACATTTCAACATTGGTATTTACTTTCTAAGAAAATTGCATTTGATTTTCAAGACAATCAGATGAGTGAACCCCATTTTTCAGTGGAGAAGTCAGACTTAGTGTCTTAATCACCCCAGGAGACATGAAGTGACATTCCCAAGGTCACATACCCCATAGGTGATAGAGTCAGAATAAAACACAGGTTTAATGATGATAAATTGATGGTTTTTTTACTTGCTATGTCTGCATGTTAGAATGACATACACATGATAATTCAGTATTTTTATTGGCAGATAAAAATAATAATACCAAGACATGAATAATCAATGCTTACAAAACATTATCTTCTAGGCATGGCTTAGGTGCATTATATTAATCACTTGATCCTCACAACTTTGCAAGGAATCTACTATTATTATCTGACTATGACAGATGAGGAAACAGGTGCAGAACATTTGAGAAATTGTCCAAAGCTCTGTAGAGAGAAGTGGCTGTGCTGGAATTTGAACCCAGGGAGTATGACTCTAGAGGCCACACTCCTAGCTACTATAATACATCATCCTGCCTCATAAGACAGCTTTTTTGTTTCAAATCCTCCCAGAAGAACTGATAAAGTGCAGAATTCTCTGAAGATGCTTTTACACTCTGACGCAATTTTAATGAAAGGCATTCTGTGAGGACTTCTTTTTTATTATTATTATTATCCTTTAAGTTTTAGGGTACATGTGCACAACGTGCAGGTTTGTTACGTATGTATACATGTGCCACGTTGGTGTGCTGCACCCATTAACTCGTCATTTAGCATTAGGTATATCACCTAATGCTATCCCTCCCTCCTCCCCCTACCCCACAACAGTCCCCAGTGTGTGATGTTCCCCTTCCTGTGTCCATGTGTTCTCATTGTTCAATAATGTGGCACATATACACCAGGGAATATTATGCAGCCATAAAAAAGTTCTATACTTTTTTTTCTTTCCTTAAAAAAATCTTTAAATTTATCTTGGGGTGTGTGTGTGTGTGTATACAATTATATATATATATAATATATTTATATATTATATATATAATAAATATTTATTTTTATATAATATATGATATAAAATATATATTTATATTTATTATTTATATATATATTTTATATATATATGTGTGAAGCTTTTTTTAGTAGTTACATGACATTCTATTTATGGTGTATTCTAATTTCACTAGTCAACTTTTAGTGGATTATATAGCTTATTAAAAGTGTTTGACTAAGTTACTATTATCAACAAAGTTTCAATGAATTTTACACTTAAAATTTGCATGCATGCATGTAAGCAAGCTTATTTGTGGGATGAATTTATAGTGCAATCTGGGTTAACTCCTGGGGAGATAACATTTATTTAAATAATCTATTTCTTGTTCATGGCTGTCAACCTATGTGATAGTGATGCTGAAGCTCATTCTGGTGACTTTGTAAGTGGGTGTGGATTATTAGCTCTGTGACAACCCATTGCCTCCCCATTGTCTTCTTTGCCTCTTAATTCTGCAAAGTGTGGAGTCTCCTTAACTGGTAGTGGGATGGGAAAGCAATTATTCTTTTTAATTGGCTTGCCTCCTAGGCTGCAATGGAGTTCTCCAGCGATCCAGATCATTACTAGTGCAGATCACTAATCTTGATATTTATTTGATCCAATAATATAGCATTTGCCATCTCACAATGTTCTCCATGCCACTAAAGAACAATTTGAGTGGTTCTTGAGAGACCTCTGGCTAGGCAAGAGAGGTAGAAGATGGATTTAAAATGCTTTGCCAAGCACAACTTGATTGCATTTTTTTTTGGTCCAGAAATCTAGAGTCAAAGAATGCTATATCTACAGTTGGCATTGAGTACTAAGACTTCAAAAATACAAAACCAAAAATATTAATTTTTCTGCAATTCCCAACACTGTATTTTGTTGTCTTTTAAAATCATATTCTACTTTATAAGTTGTAAATATACAAAAATACCTCAGTTAAGGCATTTTCCATAGCAGATTACAACATAAAAATATAAATGTGGCATGAAAGTATTTAAAGTGAGAGTAATGAGTGTTTAAAAAAAGAAATGTTGGCATTAATACCACCACCCACTTTATTAGATACTATATTCAAGATAAAAAAATTTCAAAGTTTACTGACCAGCAAAGGTTAAATATAATGTTCCTCTTGTTGCTACCTGTCTATGGAGTGAACTGGATAAGTGCTTGTGATCTATTTAAAGGGATAAAACTTATATTATAAAAAGAGGTCAATGAAGGAAAACAGGGTGACTGTCAATTTCAGATAGGAAACCACATGCCATCTTTGACTTTGAAATGTGTAGTAAGAGCTGTTGAACATCAAGCAGGGGGTACATTCATAGTTTTTATTCTCTTTGCAAAATATTTCTTTGATAATTTTGTCATTGTTGGACTTTTATAAATACATGTTTTCCTGTAGCAGTTTGTCCTAAAAGCAAGGTGCAATTACATGCAAATAATGAAATATTTCTATCTACTTACCTATCTATCCATCTAGCCGTCCATATATATCTTTGACAAGAATGCCACCTATTTCAATGTATTTTCCTTAATAATTCCACAATGGATCAGTATGTATATTGTTAAGTAGTTCTGGGGAAAATAAAGAAAGAAAACATGTATTAGTTTCTCCTATTAACCTAATTGTTACTAGGTGGTCTGCACTTTTAATCTCATTTAACCCTCACCCAGCACTGTAAGAGGCGATCATTAGCCCATCATTTATTAATAAGAAAACGTAGACTGAGAGAAATTAACTAATTTTTACAAGAGCACAAAAATTATAGGAGGCACAGAAGAATTTGAACCCAGTTGTGTCTATTTCTCACCCCCTTGGTCTTGTCTCTTCTCCACGTATGTATAAAAATGATGGCAATTAATTATGGTGACCACCAATTTTTTTATCACTGGCAAAGTACCAGGTCTTATGCTAAGTGCTGCATTGACACTGTCTCTAACAATCCTCACTAAGAAACTGTTATCGTTATCACTTTATAAAGGGAGGGGTGATGTCCGGGAAAATAAGACTGATTTCCCAAATCCACACAGAGAAGGAAAGAAGAAGGAATTAAACTCTTTGTTAAGTAGTTTTTCTGTTGGGTTGATGGAGGTTACAATTTATGGAAAGCAGAAACAGAATGAGAAGCAACTGCTCACTTTTAACATAAAGGGTTATGTCTCCATTACATTAATTTTACACTAACTTTGTATTTTTGCTGACTATAATTTATAGTATGTTTTAAAATATTCTTGTTTTGGACCAAACACTTATTTCTCTAATCCTTTTGAATCCTAATAGAGATTACTTGATATTCTACTATTATGAAAATAGTCCTGTGAAAAAAAGAATTATGGTTGCATTTACAGTATCAGTGATCTTACCATTCTCATCATTGTTATGCTTTGAAAACCACCTTTTCTATAGTTTGAGATTCTCTTTTCACTTGAAAGTCATAAGTATCTGAAATAATCCACATAAACACTACATAGTGTTCCCTTAAGATAGTGATTGAATTTCTGCACAAGAATTGAAAGATATATATGTGAAAAAGTTAAACTATTGGAGATATTTTATTTCCTTTTATTAAATTGTGTAATGCATTAGGATAAAAAGGTATATTTTATACATTCTTGAAGAATTTTTCCACCAATGCAATGAGATAAGATATTTTATAAAATGTCCTGTTAGATAAGGCACTTTCAAGTTTGATCCGTGTGATACAATATACTTTAATTGCTGTCGTTAGCAAGGAGTAACACATTTGTTTGTGAAATTGTGGGACTGATCTGTAAATGAAAATACAGTACTTCAGAAAGTTGTATAAATAAGTGTTTAAATGTCGTGGTTCATAAAAATGTTTCATCATTCTATCCTTTACCAAGTTTTATACAGATTATAGATAAAATTAATAGAAGTTTATTTTAAAATCAGTTAGAAGAAATTTGCATTCAGTATTCCCTTCTGCCATCCAGTTTCCTTGACTTGTCTTTTCAGCTGTCTCCAGGGCCCCAAGCACCGAGTCTTCTTTTTGGCAATGCTTTCATGATAGATCTTAGAGCCCCTGCTCTCAGTTAGGACGTTTAATTAGTACATGTATGGAGGTAAGTTCCAGGAGATAAATAAGGTGAAAAGAAACCCACCGCATCCATTAGTCCACCGTACAATTTAATGTATTTGTATTTATTTTATGCTCTGCTATGAAGAAATGACATCAGAATGATGAGTTAGAAAAATTCATTCTTTCATTCAGTATCGATATCTCCATCCTCACTTGTATCACTGGCTTGGCTGGCATTTTGTAGTTACTGAGCGCCATATATTTTAAAATTGTAACTAAGCTCCATACAGCTTCTGGGTACTGTGAAGTTGGCAACCTCTAGACCGGGTTCTAAATGAAGCTCACTATCTCCTGGATATTATGGGTCAATTGTCCTCAATAGAAATCACTGTAAGAGGGGATGGAGCCACTGGATAACTCCCTGCAAGTAATTTTACTACTCTGGGTATTAGTTTAATCATTGGAATATATGTATGGGAAGGATTGTATCTTTATATATCTAAGATTTTATGATTCTAAATGATGAATGTAGGGACTAAAGATTTTAACAGGTAATAGACACACTGCACAACAGGAGAGAAGGCTTCAATTTGGAAAACTCCAATTTGTGGATCAGAACTAATAGACATGCCATACTTACAAATTGTGTAATTTTTACAAATTGTGTAATTTAACATTGTGAGCAGCAGTGCTTACGTAGAAATATACAGCATTGAATGCATATGCTAGAAAAGAAGAAAAACCTAAAATCAATAGTCTAGTGCCCACCTTAGAAAACTAGAGAATGAAGAGCAATATAAGCCTAAAGCAAGCTGAAGAAAAGAAATAGTAAGAATTAGGACGGAAATCAATGAAACTAAAAACATTAAATCAGCGACAATTTTTTTTAAGTTGGTTCTTTCTTTGATAATGTCAATAAAATTGATGCATGTTTAGCCAGAATAATGAAGAAAAAAAAGAGGAAACACAAATTGATAATTGATTTCTTGTGTTTGATTGAAAAACATTTACAAATAAAAAACTAAAAATTTTATTTGCTGCTGCTTTGATGAAAGATATGCAATAATATGAATGGAGGCACAGTTTTATTTACTAGTATTTGAAATTCATGAAGACAAACACCCACTTAACTACTTTTAAGAATTCCATGTCTTCCTGAGTGTAATTTGTGTCTTTCATTGGAGGGATAAAATGACACTAAAATGTTTTGCTTTTCTTACTTAAATGCCACATCAGAAATATATCTTGTGTTATAAAAAGTCACAGTTAATAAAAATGTATTTCATATTGACATTCTAAATTATAATTGCAGCCTATAAAGTTTATTTTTTATTATTAAAAGTTTCTACTTTATAGTCATTTTCACTATAACGTATACTATGGAAAAGACAAATTCTCAGTGACAGTGTTCTGGAAGCCTCTTTCTTTTTTATCTAGAAGCTACCTGTAATTCTCACACACACACACACACACACACACACACACACACACACACACACACACACAGAGAGAGAGAGAGTTAATTCCATCTTACAATACTTCAGAAAAGTGAATTATATTGTCACCTTCTAGGCAATATTCTCACACTCTGCCTCTTACTGTAGGGTGAGTCAACAGCTGAATTGCTTCAAAAAGAAGCTCAAGTCTTGTCTCCTTTCACTACATTCGGACAGTTTGCTCTTACATTCTAGTATACTAGGTTCTAAGGAAGAGTATTGGGATCAAAGAATAAAGTGATTCAAAGAAGGAAGAATAGTCAGTGAGATGTTACAGCAAACATCAGTTCACATCAGTAAGACTAAGATAAACAGAACAAGATGACCATTTAAGAAAATTAAGTGACCATTAACTTGGATGTAAAATAAACTTAAAATGTTGGTTGGAATTGGCTTCTTTGAATTCAGTGCAATAAGCTAATTTCATTCTATGACTGTGAAATGAGTTTTGATACCATATCAGCTTGATGAAGAAAAATAACTAAAGATATAAACTCCATCATTCTTATTGCCAGTCTCATCATATTTAGTTTGCTTCTTTGCTTTTCATATAATTCATCAATGTACAAAGGACAGATGAGTCGTGCCTTTTATAAAATTAGAAAAACTATTAGATATATATTTCAAGATTGGTAAAAGTAAATTTTAAGTGTTCTCAACACAAAGAAATGATGTGAGGTGGCCTGATTCAATCACTGTACAATATAAAGCATATTGTATCTAACATTGTATATAATTATTACTTGTTAATTAAAAATAAAATATTTTTAAAAGCACTGTTAGAAAGATTTATTATAGCACTTTATATTGAGATTCAAATAAATAACTATAATGGGTAGTATTATGTTTGATAACATAACCTATCTAGTTCTTTTATGTAGGGAACCTGCATTTTTATGAAGCAGATTTAGTCCATGGGAAGAAAGCATGAGGCAGCAAGAACATTGTCAGAATCTGGATGAGATAGCCACTGAAAATAACTCATTCAATAATAGTATTATCTCAATAGAAACTGAATTGTTAATATTTTAAGTATTTTAGCAATTCAGAATGTCATAATACAAGGCCTCCTCATTTTATATGTATGAGATCTTCAGAATACAATTCTGAAAATAAGATATCAATGGCTGTAAAAAAAAAAAAAGATAAAAGCCAGGTATGGTGGGTCATGCCTGTAATCCTAGCATTTTGGGAGGCTGAGCCCGACAGATCACCTGAGGTCAGGAGTTTGGGACCAGCCTGGCCAACATGGTGAAACCTCGTCTCTACTAATCTCTACTAAAAATACAGAAATTAGCTGGGCCTTGTGGCAGGCTCCTCTAATCCCAGCTACTCAGGAGGCTGAGGCAGGAGAATTTCTTGAGCCCAGAAGGTGGGGTTTGCAGTGAGCCGAGATGGCACTACTGCACTCCAGCCTGGGCAACAGAGCAAGACTCCCTTTCAAAAAAAAAGGACATCTAGTAAGAAAATATAAAAACACATGCACCTTCTAGGTAGATGATGTAAATATGTAAATACAAGCACAACTATAAAAATTTTCCTGGGGCAAATAGAGGAAACTTAAGACTTGTAGTTAAGCTAACTCCACTATTCACTACAGGTATGAGAAAGATCAGACCATAACCAACATATCACATTCAGGGAAAAATATATAACTCAATTTGGGCCAATGAAACCCAATAGACATTAGCTGAGGACTTTAGAAGTGAAGGTTCATTTCTTTTCCTCAAAAGCTACCTAAAAAAAGATTCATTTTCTTGATGATAATGCATTGGAAAAAAGTGTAATAATGATAAAAACAAATGTTCGCCGGACCATTCTCTGTGTGCCTGGTGCTATCATATGTGCTGTTGATGCAGGAACTCAGTCTTCACAGTCAGGTTGTGTATGAAGTGGGTGCTATTATTCTGTACATTTTACACTTGGGGAAACTTAGAATTCGTTAACTATAGTAAGACCTCACTTCATGTCGTTGATAGGCTCTCAGAAACTGCAACTTTAGGTGAAATGAGGTATAATGCAACCAATGATTTTTCTCATCTATGTCATAACAAAAAGCATGAAAAGAAACAATGTTATTTGAGGATGGGGTGTACATTGTTTGGTTAAAGTGGCAGTTTCCAAGAACCTATCAGTGATGTGAAGGAAGGACTTACTATGATCCAAAATTGAGTGGCAAGGAAGTAGAGATGGGATTTGATCCCTTAAGCCTTATTAAGCCTTATTCCTCCTGTAAAGGAGTCCGCATCCTTTACAGTTGTGCTGTAGTAATTCTCATCAAGTACTAGTACAACCATATATATCACGTGATGTTTCTCTACACTGGAAATCAAAAATATTCAAATACAGAATGCTACATTCCTAGACAGAATAACTCAATATTATTAGAATGCCATTTTATATTATTATATGCTTAATATAATATGGATAAGATAATCAAGAGTTTTCCTGCCCACCTCCGCAAAAAAGTAGACTATGAAACTAACTAATACACATAATCTTAAAAAGAAGAAATATGGCCTACTGGTGATTTAAAACTATCTTAAAACCACAATCACTGAGCAATATGATATCAGTGCAAGCATAAAGATAGATGAGTATATAAATTCCAGAAAGATGTGTGCTTCTTCTAGGTAAGTAAAGACCAATAGCAATTTTTGTACCATGGGGCAGTGGTCCAATATTGGTATAAAACCAGTTGCCATAGTTAGAGAGACTTTTCTAAGACTAGAAATTATATATGTATATGTATATGTATATGTATATGTATATGTATATGTATATGTATAGTCAAACTTATAAGGACTGTGTGGGTGAAAACATCCCATAAGCAAAGTTAATTCTACCAACTAGAGTAAGTGGCTTCTAGTGATGAGGCCAGAAAGCAGAAAGACATCTTGTATTTTCATGGAGCATGGGATGAAGAACTCTTTGGGAGGAAGGATCCTGACCTCACAGTCATGATAGCTCAAATCAGAGGAAAAGAGAAAATATTAAAGCTATGTCCCAGTTCCCACCCAGCTCAATTCCAGCTAAGATTCAAAAGAAAAGTTCCTCGATACAGGTGCCTATGGGGGTAAAAAGGTATTTATTTCTGTCTCTACTGGTTTTTAAAATGTGTCATGTCTGCCATAAAATAAAATGTTTATCACGCAGGTGAACAAGCAAGGAAATGTAACCTATAGTCATAAAAAGAAACCACCTATATAGGGAGATGTATGGAAGGCTCAGCTATTGAAATTACCAGAAAAGAACTTTAAAATAACCCATCTAAAAGTTAGATAACAAATGTGAACAGAGGACTTTCAGCAGAGAGAAGTAACATAAAAATGAACCAAATGGAAATTTTAAAAATCATAAAGTAGAGAGCAACAATTCAGCCTGTGGGCTTAAAAACAGAATGCATCAGCAGAGGAAAGAGTCAGTGAATTTAAGTAAAGCATAGCACAAATTATCCAATATGAAACACAATTGGAAAAAAATAGAAAAGGGAAAAAAATAGAAAAGGGAAAAACAGAAACAGTCTGAAGTTGTTAAACAATATCAAGTGTTTTAATATTTGCTCTATGGGAGTTCCAAAATGAGAGGAAAAAAAGAATAGCCCAGAGGCAATATTTAGGAAATAATAGCTGAAGATTTCACAAAATTAACAAAATACATCAGGACACAGAGACAGGAGAACAAATAAACATTTTAAAACCCTACAATTTACTACATTGTAGTCAAGCTGCTGAAAACCGAAGATAAAGACAACATATTTAAACTAGCCAGATACAATAGGGTAATTCCATTCAATGAAACAAAAATAAGAATATTTATCATCAGAAATTACAAAACCTAGGAGACAATAGCATAAAGTTTTTAAAGTGCTGAAAAGGAAGCATATAACTAGAATTCTATAACCAGTGAAATTATCTTCTAAAACTAAAAGGAAAAAATATATTTCAGAAAAAGGTGAAATAATTCATCATCATGAAATGTGCACTATGATAAATACTAAACGAAGTTATGTCTGAAGAGAAATGATTCCAGAAGACTAATTTTGAAAGAAGAAATGAAGAGTCAAAGTAATAATAAATACATGTAAAAATGCTTTCTAAGAATTTCATTAAGAGATGATTGATTCTTTTAAGAAAATATAGCATGCCTGTAATCCCAGCACTTTGGGAGGCCAAGGTGGGTGGATTAACTGAGATCAGGAGTTTGAGACCAGCCTGACCGAAATGGTGAAACCCTCTCTCTATTAAATACAAAAAATTAGCCAGGCGTGGTGGTGCATGCATGTAATCCCAGCTACCTGGGAGGCTGAGGCAGGAGAATCGCTTGAACCCCTGAGGCGGAGGTTGTAGTGAGCCAAGATTGCACCACTGCACTCCAGCCTGGGCAACAAGAGGGAAACTCCATCTCAAAAAAAAAAAAAGGAAAGAAAGAGAGAAAGAAAGAAAGAAAAAGAAAGAAAGGAAAGAAAAGAAAGAAAGAAAGAAAGAAAGAAAGAAAGAAAGAAAGAAAAAGAAAGAAAGAAAGAAAGAAAAAGAAGGAAAGAAAGAAAGAAAGAAAATATAGTAGGAAAATATTGTATGGTTTATAATATAACTAGAAGAAGAATATATGCCAATCTTCACAGAAAGAGTGAGAGGGGTTAAATGGAGGATGGTTTTTGTGCAATTCTTACATTATTTGTAAAATGGTAAACTATCAATTCAAGGTATACTGTGATGAACTCAGGATTCAATATATATAATATATATTTATAACATATATATTGATGGATAGATTGTAAAATAATCTACTAAAGGTACTGTCGGGAAACATCACACTAAGAATTTGTGGCCAATAAAGCACGTCATTGTAAACAAACAAAATTTAAAGAGATACAGGGCTAATAAGCAAATAAAACAGTTTTTTAAAGTGATCTATTCACAAGATCGTACCCTTTCCAGCCATTCCAGGGACAAACTGGGATGCCATTGCTCCCAACAGTTACCTGAGAAGGGAGTTTGGAGATCATAATTGGTTTGAGATCACCACTGCCAAAGAACTTATAAAGCTCCAAAATTCTTTGATCATAGGGGTCAATTCTAAAATTCCTGGGTTTAGAAATCAAGATACTTGCTTTATACTTCCCACTGAAACACACCAAAAAGTTATGGATTCCAACCCAAAGGAGCTAGCTGGACTGCCCAAGCCCTATATTATGTCCAGGCATGAATTGATGAGCCCTGCTGCTAGCCACAGAGAATACATATTTTAATATCTAGCATAAATAATCTCTGAAAATAGAATTCAAGGAAATGGAGCTAACAATGCAATAGAGAACATAAAATGAAATATGAAAAGTTTCCAATAAATTCTAAAAAGATAGAAAAAGAGAAAGAAAAGAAGAAAGAACATATGGAAGAGAAAACGAGTTGTGAGGTGGTTGATGTAAACAAGTCACTACAGCAACTACATTAACGTGACAGTAGATTCTCTGATGACCTCTATGTTGCCTGCTTTCTGGTGTTCATGCCCTGGTATGATCCACCTACCCCTTTCTTGAGTGTGGGAGACCTATAAATTGCTTCTAATGAATATGCAAAGATGATGAGGTTCCACTCCCATGATTATGTTATGTTACACAAAAACCCACCTTGTTATTGTTAGCACACTTGCTCTATAGACTCTCTCTCCCTAGCTAGGTTTGAAGACTAAGTGACCATATTGGGAGGCTCACTTGTTAAGGAGCCGATAGAAACCTCTAGGAGCTAGAGCAACCTCCAATCAACAACCAGCAAAAAGCCACAACCCTCATTCCTGTAACTACAAGTAAACAAATTCTGCAAACACCTTGAGAAAGCTCAGAAGTGGATTCTTTCCCAATTGGGCCTCCAGATGAGAACACAACATTGCTGACACCTTGACTGCAACCTTGTAAAGCTCTCAGCAGAAGACCAGACTAAGCCACGCACAAACTCCTCATACACAGATAACAAATGTGTGTTGTCTTAAGCTATTAGTTTGTGGTAATTTGTTAGGCAGCAATATATTACTAATATGTGTATGTGGATAAACATTTCAGTTAGAAGGTAGAGATTGTTAGGTTGCATTTAAAAGAAAAAGGTCCGTTGTAGGGACATGGAGGAAGCTGGAAACCATCATTCTCAGCAAAGTATCGCAAGGACAAAAAACCAAACACCGCATGTTCTCAGTCATAGGTGGGAATTGAACAATGAGAACACATGGACGCAGGAAGGGGAACATCACACACCGGGGCCTGTTGTGGGGTGGGGGGAGGAGGTAGGGATAGCATTAGGAGATATACCTAATGTTAAATGACGAGTTAATGGGTGCAGCACACCAACATGGCGCATGTACACATATGTAACTAACCTGCACGTTGTGCACATGTACCCTAGAACTTAAAGTATAATAATAAAAAAAAGGCTGTTTATAAGACATCCACTTTAACTAGAAAGAGGGAGATACGTTGAAAGTAAAAAGACGAAAAAAAAAGGCAAAAACTAATCGTAGGGGAAATCTAATAACAAGAAAGCCAGTGTGACTATGTTAGTATCAGATAAAGTAGACTTCAAGATAAAGGCTATTACTCAAAATGATAATTTTATAATGTCAAAAAGGTCAATCTATAAAGGAGACATAATAAAAGTTTGTATACATTTAGTGACATAGCCTAAAAATACTGAAACAAAAAATTAATGAGAAAACAGAAAAGCATATAAATACATCATCTCTAATAATAATTGAAGAAAAAAGTTGATTCTGTTTGAGTAATTGCTACAAGTAGACAAAGAATATATACATATGTAAAAGATTGGGACATCTCTATTAACGAGTTTGGACTAACTGATGCTTATAGAACCCTACTCTCAAAGATAACAGAATAAACATTAATTTCAGGCAGACATAGAGTAGTAAAAAAATAAGCTAAGACTTAATAAATTTTAAATATTTAAGTTTTATATAATCTGATCTCTGATCACAATGAAATTAAACTAGAAATCAATAGTTAAAAGATAATCAAAAAATATCCCAGATGCTTGTAAATTAGGCAACACACTTATAAAACCATATGGGCCAACACACACACAAAAACCTGTGTATGAATGTTCATAGCAGCATTATGTATGGTAGTCAAGAAAGGAAATTCCCAAATGTCTGCCAGATGAAGAATAAAGAAAATATGAGCTATATACAATGCAATATTATTTGGCAATAAAAATGAAGTACTGATAGATGCTACAACATGAATGAACCTCAAAAACGTTGTGCTAAGTGAAAGAAGCCAGTCACAAAACAGTGCATATTGTATGATTACATTAATATAAAATGTCCAGAATAGACAAATCCACAGAAACAGAAAGAGATTAGCAGTTGCCAGCGTTTGCAGGAAAGAAGGAATAGGAAATGACTGCTAATTGGGACAAGATTTCTTTTGGGGGTGATGAAAATATTCTGAAATTAGATTTAATGATGGTTGTACTTCTGGGCATTTTATACCAAAAAGGATTAATTTTATTATGAGTCAAATATATCTTAATAAAGCTATTGTTGTTTTATTCACAATGAAAATTATTAAATATTTTGAATTGAAAAATAACCACTTTAGAATGTATGGGATGAAGTTAAGTCAGTGCTTAAAAACAAACACATAGATTTAAATGCACATATTTAAGAAAGGAAATGTTTAAAATAATTTATCTAAGCTTCCACCTCAGGAAGAAACAAAACAGATTCAATCAAAGACAGGAAATAAAAAAATAAGAACAAATAAAATTAAACAGAAAACAGACAAATAATAGTAACATGAACAAAACTAAATGTAGGTTCTTACATAAATTGATAAACTTGATAAATTTCTAGCCGAACATCAATAAAAAGACAAAAAGCACAGATTAACAATACTAAAGAAAGAGGGACGTAACTACATGCATTATAAAAGGTTAATAAAGTAATATTATAAAACAAATGTATGCCAACAAATTCAACAATGCAGATGAAAGAAATAAACTCCCTGAAAAACACAACTTACCAAAATGGACACAAAAATTTAGGATGCAAGTGTAGTTAATATTAAAACATCTTTGTGTAATGGAATCTATTTAAAAACTAAAAATAAAAATAGAAGAAATAATAAGGGAAAGACTGATCAATTCGCCTACCTGAATAGTAACGATGCCTATAACAATTTATGCCAGATATTTATCATTTCTGATACTTTTCATTACTTCTTGAAGATCTGAGTTTTCATTTGGCAATATTTCCCTTCACCCTAAAGAACTTAGTTTGGCACTTCTTGTAGTGCATATTTCAGGAAAAGTTTCCTTAGTGTTATTTTATCTGAAAATATTATATTTTACCTTGTATTATATAAAAATAAAAATAAAAATAGTTTTGTTTTTCCTGGGTATAGAATGCTGGGTTAACAGTTATAATCAATCCATTTGTCTTGTGCGTGTGTGTGTGTGTGTGTGTGTGTGTGTACATATACATGTATATCATGTATATCATTGGAATTTAATAAACAGTATGCTTAATTGTATTCATTTGATCTTATTTCATGGCTTAATTTGTAGTTTCCCTTTTTCATTAAAAAAAGTGTATCGAGTCTCCTCTATGTGCCAAGATTTTCCAGAATCTTAAGATGTATCAGAGAACAAACAAGGCAAAAATATCTGCCCTTATAGAACTTACATTCTAGTGGTTGCCAATCACTCTATTTTCCCCTTTTAAATTAGTATGTTCTCTTCTATTATTTCATTCCTTTAGTAGTGAAATTACTTTCCCCATCATTTGTAATTATACACACAGTTCTCTGTTATTATGTGAAAACACAATGCTGCCTATTTGTGTAATGGAGAACCACCAAGATGCTCCTTATAAACCACAATTTAACCCCATACAATAAGATGATGTCTTACAATAGTCTTTCTTACTCCACCTCATCTTCTCTACTGTTGATGAGATCTGTGAAATACTTTTACATCTTCTCCTCCACCTTAACCCAACTCCTAAGTCTCCCCAAGATAGTTCAATTTGTTCTAGGCTATCATAATCTCCCTTTCATTACAATCCATTTTCTTCAATTACTGATAGTTTGAATTCTCAGCTGTGAATTACCTGTCTTTTCACTGATGTGTTTCTCAAGTATTTTTCTCAAGTGGTTTAGTTGAAATCAACATCTAACCACACATACCTATCTTTCTTTTACTAGATATACTTTTTTTGATATTATCCTTTTCTCTCAGCAATCTGCAAGTGGAATTTACTGTCATTTACTTTTCAATAGTTCAAAAACATGTCTGATTCCATTTGAATTATTTTTAGGAGCTCACATTTTCCATCTAGAAGTTTCCATATATTTTTCTCTTTATCCTTACGAGGTCAAGAATCTTGTTAGCATATATCTTTCTCATTACTACTTCAAGAAGCTTAATGCAGTTTTTTCATTCTGTACAAGCCAATCTTTCTCCAGTTAATGGAAGCATCCTTCAGTCATTAAGATAGTTATTGTGTATCTCCCATCACACAGTTTCCTTTGTATAAAACGTTTCCTTTTCACCTTCTAAAACTCTTGTGACTTAGATGCTAAGTTTCTGAAATGGATCCTCCAGATTTCATAGCTTTCCCTTCAAATTTTCTCTTTTTTCATGTTTTGGTCTGTACTTTGAGATAATATTCTTTCGTTCACCTTTTCAGGCCACTAGTTTTAGTTGTAACAATAATCATTCCATATTTCAACTCACCTACTGAATTTTCCACCTATTGGGTATAATAGATATGGTTCTGGTGATGGGTACACTAAAAGCTCACACTTCACCACTATGCAATATATCCATGTAACACAACTGTACTTGTACCCCTAAATGAATAAAAGTAGATTTTTAAAAATTAAATTAAATTTTTATTCTAGGAAGTCTTATTTTGTGCTGAGCTGCAATCATTGCAGTTTTTTTTTTTGTTTTTTTTTTTTTTTTTTTTTTTTTTTACCATATTGTTGTCCTATATTATTGCTTGAAACCTCAGCTGTCTCCATCAGAGATTATTTGTTGGTTGGTGAGTTGGTTGATTATTTGTTGGTTGGTGAATTTGTTGATTGGTTTTTGCCTGGTGATTGCCCTATTTAACCTCCCCTTGCTGGCTGCTTGGATTCCAAGTATGTGTGATTATGATGTTTTCCTGTGATCTCTTTAGGAATCACCTTTGGTTGCTGAAGCATCCAAAGTGGAAGAACTCTCAGAGGAAACGGAAGTTAAATCACCATCTTCTTCTGTGGCTAAACCTATAACAGTAAGAGGGCAGGAGGAAAATTCCTGACTATGACCTGGATTTCTCCTACTCTCTTAGCCTCTGGAGTAGGGATAACTCAATTCAACTTTTCTGCTCTGACTTGTATTTTGAAGGCCAAGGAAACAAGGCCCATGCACGCATGTGCGCGCGCACCTCCCCACCCCCCACACACACTCAGGTTCATTGTTTTCCCAATTCCCCAGCAGTTCACATATTTCTGTAGACCAAGTCCTTTCCAGTATCCCCACAATCTTTTTTCAGAGGCTATCTTACCATGATCTCACCAAGCCCATGGCAGGATAGCCCTTCACAAGTTTCTTCCTAAGGATTCCTCAACCTGCAGAGCTAAAGACTTCTGTCCGATCTGGGAATCTACTGCCTTTCTCAGCCATTTGGACAGGTGAGCCAGAGGTATTCTTGTTTAGAATGAAGAGAAAGTATGATGCTTTCTCCAAACATTTCCAGAATCCCTGTCTTTTATCTAAGTTCTTTCCTTATAATTTGCATTAAGATTTGTCAATATATAGGTTAAAATGATATAAAATTTATCTTAATAATTCTTCATTACTGGGGAAGTCATCAATTCAATATATACAATTTTTTTCTGTGTTCCTTTTATAAATTGCCTTCTCGTGTCTATAGTTCAATTTTCTGCTATCTATGAAATCAAAGAAAAATGCAACAAAATATATAACTAAATGCTAAGTGCTTTCAATGCTGTAGAAAATTATCTTAAGATGTCTCAATCTTCCTTGGAGGAAGCAGACAGATGCCTGCATAATTGAGACTATGTGTGGCTTCTCAATTCTTTCTAGAAATGAGAAAAAAGCAAGACAGTGTTATAGACTTTGAATGGGTCAATGTCAACACTAATGTTTTAAAGTATTTGTAAGAAGATCAGAACCACTGATACAAGTAACCAGAGAAAGGGATATTTTTGCCTGAGTTTTTACAAGTACAGCTGTAAAACAAACAACAGGCATGGTCAAACAAATGACCATAAACAAGCAAAATTCCACTAAATAAAAGAAGAAATAAGCAAGGATATAGAAAAAAATTGGAAAAATGGTGTTAATAAGCTACGTTGCTTGTTCTGTTCCATGACAATAATCTGAGTATTTATGTCTGTCAAGAATAGTTATTAGCACTTTCTTGGACACAAGCATTGTGATCTAAATTAATAAGCACACATAATTTAGTCCCATATTTTCATTAATTTATAGTTTACTGATTTGAGAACAGAGACATTTTATATATAGGACCAAGAAATATGTTGCATATCCTTCTCGTTTTTTGGAGGCAAAGCAGTACTATAAAATATCATATTTCCCTATCATTTTTTGCCATCATTATACCACAGAAAACAGGTTGATGCAGTGAAACTTGCAAATTCCCCATACCATGTATAATTAATCCTCTAAGAAAGAGCTGAAAGAAAATAGTATAATAAATGTAAAGGAGAAGTCAATGCTATAAACATCTAATTTCATGAAATGAAATATTTCTACTTTTTAAAATAAAAGCTCTTTTATTACTAGAACACTTTGGAAGTGATGTTGTCTCCAATTTCAAAGGAAAAGAGCGTAAAACAAAACAGAGAAAAGAAATGTAATAGCAAATTAATGGAAAAGCCATATATATAACTAACTGCAATATGTATCATAAGTGAAAGGATTGTGGATAAGAAAGCTCAGCCTCCTCAGACTTGTGTGTGATTTGACAGGGTGAATTCTGAGCTTGTGAGGTCTTGGGATTTAATTTCATGGCATGCATAAAAGTAATGCAAACCCATTCATCCTAGAAACAAAACACTTGCCATCACAGAGGCTGCCTGAGCCATGTAGACTTATTACAGTCATGTCTTTGGAGAGATGCCTCAGCACAGCTATGTACACTTAAAGTGTGAAACTAGGGCCATTTCTAAGCTGACAAAATTTTATAAAACCAGATATTTCATTTTTCCTAGGCATATGTAATCCTCCCTCTGCTATTTCCAGGAGCTGAACTCTCAGTCTGAAGCCAAACATGTGGTCTTACCTTACAAAATTCAAAACTGGGATTTTATTTTATTTTATTTATTTTTTGAGACAAAGTCTCACTCTGTTGCCCAGACTGGAGTGCAGTGGCGTGATCTCAGCTCACTGCAACCTCTGCCTCCTGGGTTCAAGGGATTCTCCTGCCTCAGCCAACCAAGTAGCTAGGATTACAGGCATGTGCCACCACACCCAGCTAATTTTTGTATTTTTAGTAGAGACGGAGTTTCACTATGTTGGCCAGGCTGCTCTTGAACTCCTGACTTCAGGTGATCCACCCATCTCAGCCTCCCTAAGTGCTGGGATTACAGGGGTAAGCCACTGTGCCCGGCCAAGAGTAGAGTTTTAATAATTGCAGTTTCCATTTATCCATTCATTCACTTAACACATATTTAGTAAATTTCTTCCTTGTGTATGATGTAAGGCTAAGTAAAAGTTTGTCAAAAATAAACGAGATGGACATAATCTTTGTCTCTTGGAGCTTTTGTCTAAGGACAGTAGGTGGGGTCGATGTTATGCAAATGATTAAAACTGTGGCAAGTAATAAAGGGAGAAGTACAAGGTATTGTAAAAATATATAGCCTGAGTCCTATAGGAATAACTAGGTAGGCTTATCAGATGTGATATTTAAGTGTCTTTCTTTAGGATATATAGGATGTGGCCAGGTGAAGGTTAGGATGAAGAGTTTTGTTTGTCTGTTTGTTTGTTTCAGCAAATAGAAGAGCATGGCAAAGTCCCTAAAGTGAAGAGCAGCAGGTGATCTGCAAGGTTTCATCCTCTGGAGCATTGAGGGCCACAATGGCACAAGTTGAGGCAGGAACTGAGTCTGTATTATGCAAGGCGTTACAGCCTGGACTATGGTTTCAGACCATTACTGAAAGTAACAGGATACTGCTAAATTAGGTTAGGTTCTAAATTGAGAAGTGTTGGAGATTAGCATTTGAAAAGGATGTACCTGACTTGTAAGTAAAGATTGGGTTGGAGGAATAAAATCTCAGGGGTGTGATGCTGGTTAGAGGCTATTGCCATAGGCAAAGTGAAAATGATGGTGGCACTGTCTAAGGTGGCGATGGTGAATACAGAAACGGTATAATCTTGTTGAGAGTTATTTGGAAGTCAGAGTCACCATGATTTAGTGATAGATTAGAAGTGAGGGTTGAAGGAGTGGGAAGAGTTAAGAGTCACTTTTATATTTCTGGCATGAGCCATGAAGTGAATGGTGGCATTATTTACTGAAATAAGTGATTCTGCAGGGAAAAGAGGAACAGATATTTGGGGAAAGACGTTAGTTTTAGACGCTGAGTTTCAGGTTTCTGAGACTTCTCAGTGGATGCATCTATAAAGTTACCTATGAGCCTAGAATGTAGAAGATAGGTTTGTTCTGAAAAGAAATATTTGGGCCAGGCGCAGTGGCTCATGCCTGTAATCCCAGAACTTTGGGAGGCAGAGGCAGGCAGAACACCTGAGGTCAGGAGTTCAAGACCAGGCTGGCCAACATGGTGAAACCGTGCTCTACTAAAAATACAAAAATTAGCCGGGCATGGTGGTGGGCATCTGTAATCCCAGATACTCGGGGGGAGATATCAAGATACTGAGGCAGGAGAATGAGGAATCGCTTGAACCCGGGAGGCAGAGGTTGAATTGAGCTGAGATCGTGCCACTGTATTCCAGTTTGGGTGATGGGGCGAGACTCTGTCTCAAAAAAAAAAAAAGAAAAGAAAGAAAAGAAGGTAAGTAAAATCATAGGAGCATATGTGCTAAAGTTACTCAGAAAAGATAAAATAAGAAGAGAATAATGCTTAGGGCTGAGCCCTGAAAAATTCCAAACGTTTTAGTGTAAAGGAGGCAGAATTAGAAAAAGGGGCTCAGACACTGGCCAGAGTAAAGTAAGGAAAAAAAAAAAGAAGAAAGTATGTCAAGAAGTGGAGTCTGCTAGTCAATGTCAAAATGTGCCCAAAAATCAGGTTAAATGGAAACTGGAAAGTGTCCATCATACTGACTGGCATGGAGGCCACCTTAGTGAAGCCATACTATGGAAGATGGGGCAAAGCCAGTGGTGGAGGTTAAAATGAACCTGGTCAGTGCGAAGGCAGAAAGTGGACAAAGTGGGTGGAAATATATCTTTAGAGTGCTTAATTGTAAAAGACAGAGTGGCCTTAGGACCATATATTATGAGGTGAGTGAGGCGAGGGTATGGTTGCCACCATGAGTACTTGGTTTTTAAAATGAAAAGCTCGAAATATTTAATTACCTATATGAAGGCTCCAGGGAGGAAGTGTGCACTCATACCGAAGAGACATTAGATGAAGTCTTCATTGGATTGGGAGGATGAAGTTGAAGGTAGATCTGTGTGTTTGGTGACAGGAAGATCTGCCTGTTAGCTTATCTTTTCCCTGGGTTTGGTGTGGGGGTGGTGGGGAAACACAATCTTCTGCTGAAAATGAAGGAGAGGAAGCCATGGTGGAGGAGTGGGTGACACAAGGAAGTTACAGGACATTTGCAATAGATATTCAGAGAAGAGGAATGATCTAACTGAAAAGACTTAATTAAATTGCTAGGGAAGCATTGCGAGCTCAGTTCTTCCTTCCTGTCCTTCTTTCCTCTGCTCCTTATAGCACTGCAATCATTACAAAATTTAGATTACAGAAAACATCTGATAAACTTACACTGGAGTGCAAGAGACTGCTGTGGTGTGTAACTTAGCCTGCTCTTTTGCTCTGATAATTTGTATTTTACTAGGAGTTCATATTATGGGCCCTCTAAAGACTTCCAGTTGTGAAAATATCAGTCAGTCAATCTCTGAGAGAGAAATTTGGGGTGGGCGTGCCGACTAGAGTGTCTGTGGCCCAGGAATTGACACATCACACGGGCAGAAATAGAAGGGGATGCAGCCAGTTATTTGTGTGTCTCTTTCAAGGCCAGGTTTATCTCCAACTATTAACACTTGAATTTTAACTAGTCAATCAGTTTACCTTCTCAGTTACTCAGTAACTCTCAGACTTTCAGTAGCAGTTGGAGAATATTTTGATGTACCAGTGTTGTAACCGAGCGAGTTATAGAGAAACGCCACACTTTGAGACTAATTCAGGGGCCCTTTATTTGCTGGCGACCGAGAGACAGCTGGTGCTCAAAATTCTCTCGGCTCCAAAGAAGGGGCTAGATTTTCTTTTATACTTTGTTTTAGAAAGGGGAGAGGGAGCCTAGCTGAAGCAATCTTACAGAAGCAAAACAGGCAAAAAAGTTAACAAGATATATGGTTACAGAAAAACGAACAGTTCCAGGTGCAGGGGCTTTAAATCCATCACAAGGTGATAGATGCGGGGGCTTTGGGTGCTATCAACTGTACACAAACGTGGGCGCTGTGGGTACTATCAACAGGGCGAATTCCTGGGAACTGTGGATATAGCTTGCCACAGTATCTTATCAGTAATTGCATTCTTGGATGTGCTGGGAGTCAGCTTGCACAAGTTAAGTCCTTGTGGAAGGGGAGTGGGTAAGGGGCTGTAAGTGAAGGAGCCAAAATGGAGTCTCTCTGGCTCTCTCAGCTAAGGGAGAGTCAATTCAGGTTAAAACAAGGTAGGATATCACACCAGTGGGAGGGAGCTAGCAGAAACCTGGAATGTGGGGTACTCTCCAAAATGGACAAATCCTGGTGAAGTTTTGTGGAAGGAGGCCCTAGGAAAGCAGAGAGCATTTTTATGCTAGCGGGGAGAGAGACTTAGAGACTGGAGGGTGCCACAATTTCTGAAGGTCACTCTGAGTTTTATGTGCAGGATGATGTTATTTATTATCTGACTGTTACCATTTCACGTATGACCTCAGGTGTCTGATGAGAGCAATTGTGCTCTCAATTCACATTGGAGTTGGGGTTGCTAATGTAATTCCTTCAAGTGCAATGCAATTGTCATTCTGCCCAATTTGTTCCTGCCAGCTCTCTAAAGGGGAATGCTTATGGCCCTGGGAAGAGCTGACAGGAGGGAGAGGAAGCCTTTTGTCTTGCTGATTTTGTGGAGTAGGCCAAAGTCTGCATTAATCTGAGCAGGCATTTCTCAATCCAGTATCCTCAAATCTGTTTTGAAGGCTGAGTCAGGAGACTGCATGACGGTCAAGGCCAGACACATAATTTGCAAGGCCCAGGGCAAAACAAAATATCGGGTCTCTTACTCAAAAATTACTGTGTTAGGAATTTCAAGGCAGCAACAGTTGAGTTTTAAGCCAAGTGCAGGCCCCATCTGAGTGTGGGGCTCTGTACAACTACACAAGCTACAGAAGCATGAAATTAGCTCTGATGATAGTGTCTGTTATAACTTTGCCCTGGCTTCTAAATGTAGCTTAACTTATCATTAACTTTGACCTTAGGAAGGTCACTTAGCTCATTTAACCTGCAATTCCTCAACTGTAAATTATTAAGCACAAAGATTTATTAAGCATCTATTTTATTCAACTACTGTACTAGTCACTGTTGTATTGCTATGAGCACACACACACACACACACACACACACACAATCATTACCCTGTTGGAACTTATATAGTATCTGAAACAACTGAGAGTAATTTTAAAATTAGTAATTTAACTAAAACTAGGATGAGAGCTACAATAAAGCTACAATAAAGAAGTACTCTGAATTGTGTTATGCATTTATAGATGACCTTTAGGGAATTATAACATGACTTCAGCATAATCAATAGTCAATAGTATTGATAGAGCATAGTTAATAGTTAATAGTAAATCTTCCATTAATAGCATCACTTTACAAATATAATACTTATTTTGTGTTAGGAATATAAAAATTATGCTATACTAACTAAGTGAATACAACTGCCAAATGAGGTAATTGTTATTAATACACTTATTTTGCAAGTGAGAAAAATGAGGAATGGGGTTATTAAATAACTTTTAAAAGACATTACCATGAATGAATGGTAGAGCTGGCTTTGATTTCAAGCCCAGTCTTGCATCCAGACATGAGAGCCTTAAATTAAGCTCCGATATTCCACCTCCTGGGACATAAAAAAATGATTGCATGGTGAAAAATAAAACCAGGCAACTCTCATTAACCCTGGAGAGGAATCTGAAGACCTGGATCTTCTTTGTGTTTTTCCATGGACTGCTTTGTGAGAGAGTCTCCTAAAATTTTGATTCTTGTATTTCATCATTTCTCAGGCAAGGGTCCAGCTTCCCAACATCAGGCTTGATAAAAAAATGTTCCATATCTTATAGCATTTGCAAGGGGAGAAAAGTTGTAAGAAATATAACCACACATTTACTATTATACTTACCTATCTATGATCTATTTACCTATCAATTATCTAGCTACTCACCTACTATCTACGGTTACATAAGTGATAATTTTAGTACTAACTAAATCAGTAGTTTTCTTCAACATATAATTAGTAATTAACTAATTAGCATTTCTTAGTAGATGTTGAAACCTGTCATTTCTCCTTAGGGTTGATTTAGCAGCTCTCCTGGCTTAGATCTTTATTCTAGATTGAATGCTTGATCAGTCCTTGGAAAACTGATACACAGTATCTTGGTAGAGATGTGATTTATAAACATAAATTTTAATTTATTTTCTTTATAATGGAGACCACACTTGCTGTAGATTTTATAGTGTGGGTGACAATCTCTTGAGGTCTCAAAATTGAGTCTGTAAATCTTTGCTCATCTTTAACAATCACGACATCTCATAGGACCAGGAAAATCTGCATGTAGAATGAATTTTTACATTCTAGAGCCTGGCTTTATGAAAGAAGGGAGGTTAAGTAACCTTAACATTATCTATGCGTGGACAGTACTCATAGCCTTCTAGGTTGTCACCACAAAAGAATATGGAGGATGCTGCCTACTTCGTGCCAGGATATACTAAGACTTTTAAAACTCTATTGAGTTCATTGGATGCCTAAAGTGCTACAGATAGCTCCTTAAAGCTGTACAATTTCTTTAATTTATAAAAACTCTGCTGAGTACATTGGATCCCTAAAATGCTACACATAGCTCCTTAAAGTTGTATGATTACTTTAATTTAAATAAGTTCCATGAGACCTATTTGATCAGGTAACATAATTGGACTGAAATCTGAGATTTATACTGTATATTCTTAACAGTTATAGTCCAAGGCAGCTGACTCAAAATCTGCAAAAATTCCAATGAAACATTTCTGTAAAAAAAGAAGTTTGACTTAATAAGAGAAATAAAAATAATTTTAATGTAAATAGAAACTATTGACATTTTGTATTGTAGCTTCTGAATACTGTCAGAATTTGAACCTGAAAATTTCCAAATGAGAGACAATGAAGAGCTTGCTATTGGCCTTTAATTGAGTTGCTCCTATAACTGAAGGACATGAACTAATCCTCAAACTTGAAATACATATAATGTCTTGGTTGATGTCAGAGAAGCATTCTAATGGACAAGACAATGCCAAGAAGAATTCTATGACAAATAGAAATGGTTTGTACAGGAACATGCTACCAGGGGAATGCAAGCAGGTACTCATGAGCATTCAGCTTCCTTTGTCCTGGGGATGACTTTGGAACCAACTGCAGAGCTGCCAGAGCTTATTGCTATTTGTTCAGTGCTCCATGACCAGTTCTCAACTTACCAACAAAAAGCCACATGGTATATGGATGAGTAGCTGCAAAGTGAATGGACAGGATCCTGTTTGAAAGGCCACTGCTCTGGTAGAAGAAGCTAAAAGCAAATCAGATCAGGGGGCGGAATTGCATGCTATTTGTCCCTGTGTTTGTTTTCTAACAAGTCATGGGTAGTATGGTAAGACAAGGGGAAGTTGGCCTATTAAATAGAAGCTTGCATGGAGCTTGGCCCTATGGAAATCACTGTAGGAATTTAGAGGGTGCATTAGACATGTCAATGCCCATCAGAAGAACTTCCTTCCAAGACTAGAAGATGATTAGGACCAGTTAGTAGATATTCTGATGTGCTCCCTGGAAGTGGACATCTTGGTCCACTAAATTAGTGGACATTGGGGGCCCATAGCAATGCTGAAATGAGCTGAATCTAGACATAATTCTCTTCCACACTCTCACAAATAAAATGCCTATAAAATTGTACTATTTGCCATTTGGAGAGACAAAGACTGCAAATGGTGATGGGGGAAGTTCCCTGGGTGGGAAGGCATCACACATAGCTGGTAACTGGGACTGATATTGGTAGCCCTAGGGGCCTACAGATGCGTCCTGGCAGGAGCTTAGAGTAGACTGGGCTTGTCATAGCCAGTGGTAGAGAGAAATTGTCAAAGTACTATAAAAGCACCAGAGCAGAAAATATTGCACCACTTTGAGTCACATTTTTTCAGACTAAGAAGTACACTTTTCAGCCCATAGTGTCCAACAGCGCATAGAGAGATATCCTCCTTAGGGTAAGAGTTTGACATAGACTTGAAAAAGACAAGTGGAACATTTGTTGTCTAAAAGAAAGGGAGATGAGGCAAGGAGGGGTGGCTAACCTGCTTTCGTGAGCCTATGCTTACACTTAACATGAGAGTGGCCAAGGGAAAATTTCCGAAAGATAGATTTCTCCACTTAACTGGAGGATTTAGGAAGGAGTGGGTAGAAAAGAATACTGGTATGACTATTCTTTTTCCTCTTTTCCCCACATCACCTCAACTTCCCCTTTTCTTTCCTGATTTAGTGGTCTCAAGGTCAGGACTGCAATTATAGGTCCAAGAATCAGGAATATCTCTAAGAAAGAGAGTATAACTATATTGTTAAAGCTTTAAGTCGGAATTTGTAAAGGCCTGATGGGGTGAATTGTGTCTTCACCCCATTTGGAAATATTGGAGTTGACAGTAAATGCAGTCAATTGCCCAGTGGTTAAGAAAGCTCACCAGTTCTGTATGTCTATAGCTCTCCCCTATTTAAGTGGAAATGGACTGAACTGGCGGGGGGCACTTGGTAGACTAATAATGCTGTTGGAAATATGGACTAGCACAGCAGTCAAACTTAACATTCCTTCTAAAGGGTGAAAAAGTTTGGATAAAATGATTAAGTGGAGAGAAGGAGGAACACTAGTTGAGGGTAAAGGAATTAATAAAAGAATTATGCACCAAGGGAAATCCAATATTACATTGCCACTCAGAGCAAGAGATAATGTTATCTCTTAGCTCAATGATACCAGATGCCTGAAAGGAGGAAGCCATGTGTTGCCAAGATCATATCTGTTCTCACAATCTGACAAGTTCAAAAGAAAGCTAATGAAACTAAGTGAAATCTCTCTGGGACGTTTTGGTTCTGTGTGATGATGGACTGGACTAATTATTGATGACTAAGTGGGACTCTGGTAATGCATCACTATCTCATTTTTCAAGTCACGTCAACCACACTGTGCCATGATATAACACTGGTGGTGTTGGTAAGATGATAATACCAGTACTGATGGTCAAATGTATTGGAAAAATGAGGTAAAATCCTCCTATCCCCAGAACATACTAGTTTTTGTAAATGTTGGACATTTACAAAATGTCCAACTTGGCTGTAAGAGAGCCAAGTTTAAACCACAAGTTTAGTGGTGCCCCAAACCACCCTCAGTTCTGGTAATTCACTAGAAGTTTTCACAGATCTCATTGAAAGCTATTCTATTCATGGCTATCATATATTACAGAGATAGGGTATGTTAAAACCAGCCAAGGGAAGAGAGAGACACAGGGGACAAGGTATAGGAGAGCTCCAAATGCAAAGTTCTGGTGGCCAGAGTTTTTTGTTAGGCTTGCATTGGCTGGTTTAGCTAAAAGTTTGGCCTTGGAGCCCAGCACAGTGGCTTGTGCCTGTAATCCCAGCTACTTGGGAGGCTAATGTGGGAGGATTATCTGAAACCAGTAGTTCGAGACCAGCCTGGGCAATGTAGTGAGATTCTGTCTCTAAAATAATAATTTTAAAATTAGGTGGGTGAGGTAATGTGCACCTGTGGTTCCAGCTGCTCAGGAGGCTGAGGTGGGAGGATGTCTTGAGCCCAGGAGTTTGAGGCTGTAGTGACTATGATCGCACCATTGTATACTCCAGCCTGGGCAACAAAGTGAGATGCTATCTCTTATTAAAAAAAAAAAAAAGTTTGGTCTTGCCAGTGTGCCAAAGAGGAGGTCAGGCTTTTGCCCTTGGCTTCTGGAAAGTAATGTATATTATATCTGATACATATATCTTTGTATCAGATAGGATGGGGGCTTGCCACACTGGGTCTGAGGATACGGTTGGCCATACCCAACAGTCTCAGGGTAGAGCTGGCCATGTCAGAAAGATTAGCCATGTGATTAGAGTGCAGGGGCTTTGGGTCAAGCAGTATCAGTAACCTAGTTGCTGAGTTGACCATGGGAGTAATCAATCAATCAATTATACCAATACAATAAATCCCTAACAAAAAACTCTGGCCACCAGAACTTTGCAATTGGAGCTCTCCTATACCTTGTCCCCTGTGTCTCTCTCTTCCCTTGGCTGGTTTTAATGTACCCTATCTCTGTAATATATGATAGCCATGAATAGAATAGCTTTCAATGAGATCTGTGAAAACTTCTAGTGAATTACCAGAACTGAGGGTGGTTTGGGGCACCACTAAACTTGTGGTTGATGTCGGAAGTGAGAGAGGTCTTGTGTGGGGACGGTGACCTCAGATTTTACAGCTGTGCTGACTGCGAGTGTAAGAAAAAGATGAAAATAGGAATCTCATAGACAAGAGACATAGTAAACAAGGTCCCAAATGTGATCTGAAAACAAAAGCAGTATATGCCGAAAATGTTGATGCAAAGTTACAAGTATCTTTTAATGAGATAAACACATCTTAATTAAATAAGAAGTAACAAAACACACAAAAATGAATAGTTAAACTCTAATAAACACTAATGCCAACAGGTGATCTGAATATATTTTTTCTAATTTTTAGCGTCTATATTTTCTTTCTTTAGCTTTAAATTTTATTTCATAGCTTATTTATATACAAAATCAAATTTTCAATGGTTTTAATCTTTAAAATAGTTTTTCTAATTTAAATTGTATCTTTGAATTTTTAAAAAGCTTTTCACTTTTGTTTTAAAAATATATTTCATCTTTGAATTATATGTTATATATATATTTCAACATTTTACACAATATTACATAATAAAAATTGCTCATTCTTTTAAAAAATTCTTTTGTCTGTTCCCTTTTAGGATTGTCTGTCTAAAGCTTCAAAAAAAGAAAAAAAATGTATTTCTCGTTGATGTATACAGAAAGGACATCTTGTGATCAGAGAGCCACAGTACTTTGGAACTTGAGTGTTCTTTTTTTTTCCCATATATTTACTATTTGCTTTTGACATTTCCTTGTGCCAAAGAAAGCCTTTTCCACTTTTAATCACCATGATAATTTGGTTTCCTTTCCCATCTCTGTCCACTGGTGTATGCTACACTTAGGCTAAAAAACATATTGCACACCCTTGACTACACTGTAATACTGCACTCAGTACGGACGTGAAGCTCAGCAGGGACATTAAAAGTATCATATGCTGGGATGGTCCTTTCCTTTTTTCTGGTGTTCAGCATCTTTTATAAGGCAGAATTAAGAAAACAGAAACATAAATCATGAAATTTGAATCTCTTGTAATAAAGAAGGCAAGACTGCCTTTGGTCTCAAAAGGTGGAAAAAGTATTTTTTACATTCCTAACCTGCTACCAATGTCTTTTATGAAGCAATTTTCAATGTGAAATGAGACAGGGAAATAGAACCATGAGCTTCCTTGTTTGTGTTTTCTGAGCCCCTGGTGTTAGATTGGGTTTTTCTGAATAGTTTTATAGCCAATTTAGCAGTTTCTCATCTAGGGAGCAAGTTTTTGTTTTGTTTTGTTTTATGGTTAATAAATCCTCAGGATTCGTAGAGTTCGTCTGTAAGAAAATAGCCAACATGCTTGTTCCAGGGGAGTGGTATTAATAGACAATTAGAGAAAATATAAACAAACAGAAAAGTGGACAGATATAAACTGAGGCTTTTAAATATTTTTAGCAATATGATTTTTCTTTTGTACTTTTTTTTCTGCAAACAGAGCATCAACTAATCTCCAGAGCAGTTGTGTTCACAACTGCAAATCAGCATATTTTAAAATAACAAATATACTCATTTACTACATAATATACTCCAGGCAGGAGGCAAAAAGAGATTATTGAAAAGAACTCAAACAGTGTGTACTGAAACAGCTAGTCACAATACGAACAATGTGAGAATCTGTGACAAATATCACAGGGATCTTTCGAAACATCACACAATTTTTAATCATTTCTACATGCCTCAAGGAATTAAGGACTTTGAGAATATCTGAGATCATGCACATGATCTGCCTGGCTTCAGAAAGACACAGTAGGCTAGCACCACAATTCCCCAAATCACACATAATATTGAGTTATTGCCATGTAACTTCTGGGGCTTCTCTCTGTGTGTGTGTGTGTGTGTGTGTGTGTGTGTGTGTCTGTCTGTGTGTGCACATGCTCCAATACTCTACAAAATCTCTAAACACAAGCTCATTTGGTTTGCCATGTAAAAAATATTAGGGGCTGGGCACAGTAGCTCACTGTGTAATCTTAGCACTTTGGGAGGCAGAAGTGGGTGGATTACTTGAGCCCAGGAGTTCCAGATCAGCCTGGGAAACATGGCAAAACCCTGTCTCTCCAGAAAACAACAACAAAAACAACCCAAAAAGACCCGACCAAAACCAATATACACCAATTCACCTGCCATTACTCAGTGCAGCAAATTCCAATATAAACTGACATGCATTCAGGCAAGAAAGTGTTCAGGAAAGTGCAGATTATTAGAAGGGATCACCTGCTAAGAACGCAACAGCATTTTACAGCAACACGGCATCTATAAGTGTGTGAGAACCAGATAATTTTTGAAAAAAAACACAGAAATATAAACGCTAAAAAAGAGTCAGCTCTTCAAGACAATCTTCCAAGCATGCCCAGAATATGAATTTTTCTTCTCAGAAAAAAAAATGTGAGGATCCATGGTTTTCTCCAGTGTGAGTGAAGAAGAAAGGTAAGTAGGGGAAAAAAAAGCTAGAGGGATGGGAAGCAGCTAAATGGGAAGCCCTACTGGTTGAACATGTGCTCTGTGTTTTTGCCAGTAGAGTCTAGGGGGTAAAGGAGTGAGAGGACTCTGTGTGGCAGCATAGCCAATTTAGTGCAGACTTCTCACACAGCAGGAGGTCCTAAACCTCATATCACCAACAGTCCAGGTGGGAGGGTAGCCTTGGAGCTGCAGAGGTTTGTGTGATTTCAACATGGGCTGTACAGGGCTAATGCAGGAAGAAACATTGATTTAAAAATACGTGCTTTTTGCCATTGAGGATTAAACAAATATCTTCTTAGGATGACAAATTGCAAGTAAGAAATTGCAAAGGCAATGGCTGAAAATAAAATAACAATAGTTTCAATTATCAATGGAGAGGAATTGAAACTATAAAGAAGAATTAGGTTTTTCTAAAATAACCAGAAAAGTCTTGCAGTCAGCTAGATGAGAACAAATACTAATACCACTATTACTATTACTCTTTTTGTTGATAATGTATTAGTCTGTTCTCACATTGCTATAAAGAAATATCTGAGACTGAGTAATTTATAAAGAAAAGAGGTTTAATTGGCTCACAGATTTATAGGGTATACAACAAACATGGCAGCATCTGCTCAGCTTCTTGGGCAGCCTCAGGAAACTTATAACCACGGCAGAAGGCTAAGGGGGAGCAGGCATTTTTACATGGCCAGAGCAGGAGAGAAAGGGAGGTGCCACATACTTTTAAACAATCAGATCTTCTGAGAACTCACTCACTATCACAAGAACAGCATCAAAAGGATGGTGCTAAACCATTTATGAGAAGCCCGCCCCCATGAGCCAATGACCTCCCACCAGGTCCCTCCTCCAACACTGGGGATTACATTTCAACATGAGATTTGAGTGGGGACACAGATCCAAACCTTACAAATATACATCTAGAAGGCAACCAATACCATTGAAAATGGAGTCTAGAGTTTGACACAGAAAAGTAGCAATACCAGGCCTCAAGTTAAACAAGGTTAGAAAAGCGAGCTATTTCTTGCGTGATCAGGAAGACAGGAGTTTGGGGATGATTACATTAGATCTTAACTTGACAGTAAATTCTGAGAAAGAGAGACCAGCCTCTGACATCCAGGAAAAATAAGTCTTGGTGTTGTTAAGAGCTGGCCCGGTGCTAACAGCTATATCATGTTGTTCTCCTTTTGGAGATAAATTATTTAACAAAACACCAACATCAGACGAGGTCACTCTGCAACTATGATGAAGTAAGACGCAAAACAAGACCCCATCATAATTTTTTTCTGAGTACAAAAATCAAACAAAAATTTCAGAGTACAAACAAAAAGGTCTCCTAATGGTACAAATCACCAAAATACCAAGTATCAATCTCTCCCAGCTGATATGAGGAACTGCTGTCTCTTTATGATTATGCTATAGCCTTGTTGTAGTCTGTCCTCTTCTAGGTAATATTTACTAAGATGCTCTTCCATAGCATTTTCCGTTTTCTGACAGCATCTAATCTACAACCAATTCTTGGCTTCTTGAACTGTCTCCAAGATGACCTAATGCACTCCAATCTGAATCCCAAGGGCCAATCTGTAACTCCTTATTTAGAAAGGCTCACTCTCTCACTGAGATGCCCCAAGTTATTCCATGATGTGGAGTCTCTCTCACTGCAAGAAATAAGAAACCCATCTTGTTGACTCCAGGTGTGTTCCAGGTGGTCTTTGTCTAGAGGTGCATAGTTGACTGTCCTGCACTAAACCTTGTGTGTAGCCCTTAGAGTGAGGAAGATGGTACCATCCAGTATGGAGGTATCACTTGTGAAAGGGAATTTTTTTCCTGCGCTGCTGTTAAGACAGCCTAGCATATAGCAAGTCTTCAATATATCTTTGTAAAAAGAATGAAGTAGCTTTCAGTCAACTGGCGTTCCCAGAATGTAAATAATTTGAAAGTGCTCAGCAAGGAGCCAGACACATACAGTGCATACAACTAACAATAACTCTTATTTCAATTGGGCTTAATTCATCTATAGTTGTACAGATATGTAGGTTAACTGTACTCTATACTTAAGTAGAGTTGACACAATCATTTGCTTTTAATCTCTGCAATCAACTACTTTATATCCAAAATTTCAAGTCCTTCAACTCCTCAACTCTTTCAACACATTGCAAAATTGTGCTTCAGTGCTGGGAGTTTCAGCTCTTTTTATACAGCTCCAATCATATCATCCTACTCAGTATTTCCTTATTTATTTATTTATTTTTTTATTTTTAGAGACAAAGTTTCACCATGTTGGCTAGGCTGGTCTTGAACTCCTGACCTCAGGTGATCTACCCGCCTCAGCCTCTCAGAGTGCTGGGATTACAGGCATGAGTCACTGTGCCCAGCCTCATCTTACTGAGTATTTTCTAACCATTTAGGATTCTGTGTCATTAAACTCACTTTTCTTTGCACTTGAAATTGCCTTTATCCTCTTCTTGGTTAGGCTAAAGTAATCCTATTTATAATTGCCTTGTCTGCTTAAAGTAGAATAAATGCTTTCCTTTCCTTAAAGTAGAATAAAGCATTCCTGCTTCTCTGCACTGAGAACAATATATTTATATTTATTTCCGTATCACTAAACATGCTGTATTATGGCTGTTTTGTGACAATTTATCACTCTCTGCCATGCCAAGTTCATATAGAAGGTAGTGAATCTACTCACTTTTCTATCTCTAGAAGTTTGGTGTCATGTTTATGTTAAATACATGATAAATAAATAAATTTGTGGCCTCCCTTATTTTTAACTTCTACTCTATATACTACCTGCTTCCTCAAACATTTAATAATTCCCCTGTTGCAGAATGAAATCTATACCTCTTTACCTAAAATCCAAGTTTATGTAAAATGTTACCTTTAATCGTTTTTAATTGATGTATTCCCTTACTTCTCTAGATGGACAATTTAATTCTATGCAATTGGGTTCAGCATATTGACTTAGTCTTTATTCCCTTTTTTCACTCAGAATGTTTTCTCCTCCTTCTACCTAGGTAAGACCTACTCACTCTAAACTCCTGAATAAATTACTAATTGTAACATTAATTGGTATAATGAATGGTGACTTTCCTATTGGTATATTACCAGTTAGTGTCTCTTGAATCCCAAGGGCGTTACACATTGTAGATACTTAATACATGGCTGATGGAAATGATATTGATGGCAGTGCATAGGAGGGAGCCCTGTAGATGAAGAGAAGGAGCTTCTACACAATCTCTTTAAGCCAGGATCTACCCTCCCAAGAATGAAACGGAACAGAGTAGGAGATTGGCAGGAAATGCAAATAGTCCTCGTCAGACATCAACTAGTGATGATGAGGCTGTCGTCTCAAGAAGCTCCGTGGATTTTCTAACAATGTATCATTATCTTCCCAGACACTGAAGTTTGAGTTTTGATTAGAAAAATTTCACAGGTAGATTTAGAAATATGTTATTCTGGGTAGATATTCTTTTTTAACATCTTGTGTCTGCAATCTCATAACAACTACTCCTTCTCCCTAGCTGACAACTAGTCTTTTAAAATATTGCTGGCATGATTATCTTGGATTACTTGTCACTAGACCTTCACAAAATATGTCTATTTTTAGGCAGTACTGATCATGATGGCCTTTGTTCTCCACCTCCACCCCACCACCACAGAGGAGTCTGCAGATTAGTAGGAGATGATTCTTCAGAGAGATAGCATCCCATCTCAGGAACACAAAATTTCTCTGAAATGTCTTTGCACACCATTTGACTTATTTGAAAACTTCTTTCTCTCTAATTTTCTCTAGTCCTGAAGATTTGGAAAATTTAAATAAATCATATATTCATTGTTCTGAATCCGTTTAGGATTTTAACATTTAAAGGGAGGGAATTCAATGAAAGCAATATTATTTAAGCATTATGATTATCCCTAGAGAATTCCTACAAAGGATGATAACAAAGAGAAAAAAAGCATTCAGTACACACTACCAAAAATGGCAATAGTTGAATAAGTACAAAAACAAACACAATTGGAAAAAGAAAGAAGAGATTTATCCTGATGGGGATAGGTAAAGTTTCATGGAGAAGATTTTCAACAGGGTCTGGATTGATTAGTTCTTGATAAATAGTGATTTAAGAGAGAGAGAGACTCCAAGTAAAAGTTCTGAAAATCAAATTCAAGAAAGCAAAAAGAGTGTTTTGAGAAAAAAAGTCAGCATGGTATATGTAAAGTTTAATCTTTCAACTAGTAACTAATAAGACTTCTGTATGATCTATCATATTTCCTTTGTTAGCATGTTTGATAAAAAACTGAGTTACGTTTTGGATTCTATTACATTATCTATCCTCAGCCCTGATTTCTTTATCATAGATTTTTCTTCATTTCTTTTATTTCTTTGATTTTCATTTCATCCTGCATTAATTTAGTTGCACTATATTTGTGCTTTTTTTCTATTATCAGCTTTATAAGATGATGTTCTATAAATAGGAATGTTGAAAAAATAATAAATCTATTTAAAATAAGTTATAGAGATTTGTGAAAGAAAGAAAACTGGGGAAATGGAAGATGGTTCCAAAATATGACTAGCTTTGAATGTCATGTGAGAGAAAAAAAAAATGTTTTATGGGTAAAGAAGAACAATTACATTTTTAGTTGTAGTAAAATATCATAAGCATAGTTATGCATTGTGAAGGCAGTAGTAAAAGAGATGAGAGGTTGGAGGAAGATTAAAAACAGTCAGGTAAGCAGCAATGAAGTGTTTGAAATAGTTTCTTTACTTTTAAACAAGGAATTCATACAACTCAATAGGAAAACAAAACAAAACAGAAAACTAATAATCTGGCTACAAAATGGGTGAAGGACCTGAAAAGACATTTTTTTCCCAAAAGAAGACATACATATGACTAACAAATGTATGCAAAGGTGCTCTGCTTCACTAATGATCCGGGAAATGCAATTGAAACCACTATGAGATATCACCTCATACTTGTCAGTATGTCTATTACCAAAAAGATGAAAAATCACAGTTGTTGGTGAGGATGTGGAGAAGGGGGGATCCTTGCACATGCTGTTGGTGATAATGTAAATTGTTATAGACATTATGAAAACCAGTATAGAAGTTTCTCAAAAAATTAAAAATAGAACTATCATATAATTCAGCAATCCCACTTCTGGGTATATATTTTAAAACATTGATATCAGGATTTCAAAACCAAAGTAACTAGGACCAACAGGGAGTAAGAGAAAAACAGAAAGTAGCGACCCAGTTAAAGAAAACCAGAAACTTTGTGCATATACTCTACCCTAGTCCTTGAACTACATGGGTATCAGGTAGATTGGAAGCTATTTTAAATAATATTGGAGCTCTTACCACCACAGACAAGAGGCAATGAGCACTTTGAGTCTAACCAAACTTATTGTGCACTAAAGTAAAATAGCATCATCACTTTTTGGATAACTCTGTGAATCTAGAGTCCCCACAACATAGTATTTCGATGTTTATAATACAAACCAAATTTATGCAACATGAGAGACAAATGTATGGATGATTATCAAGAGAAAAGACAATAAACTGGGCCTGACCCTAAGATTACCCTGAATTTTGAATTATCTGAAATGGACTATTTATGAGTTATTATGAGTAAAGGTAAAAATGACTGTAATTAATTTAAAAATAGGAAACCTCAACAAATAGAAAAAATTTTTAAAGAATCCAATTGTAATTTGCTAACTAAAAAAAGTCTGAAATAAAATAGTTTAGTATATGAGATTAAGAGCTGAATGATTATGACAGAGGAGAGCTGGTGAACTTGAAGATGGATTGTAAAAATCAATTCTGAAGAATACAGAAGTTAAATTTTACAAAATGAACAGAGCCACAAGGACCTGTGGGAAAATATAAAAACTGTAACAATTAAAGTTTAGTGAGACAGAATATATTCTAAGGAAAATACAGCTAGACATATAAGCAAACTGCAGAAAAGTAAAGATAAAGATAAAATTAAGAAAGTAGCTAATGAGAAAGTCATGAAAGCAAGCAGAGAAAAACAAAACATTTCATACAAAGAAAGAACAATTCCAAATTCAAATGACAATGGAGTCTTTATCAGAAGTCAAGAACGACAGAAGAGAATGGAACAGCATTTTGGAGGTACATAAAGAAAAAGTATAAAGGTCAAACAAGGAGAGCTTTCAGATCACTATATACAGTATTTAAACCTGTAAAACGAAAGAGATATGAAGAGTGATGATGCTTCATTAGTACAGCTCAGAGAAATTATCCACCAGGCAAATGAAGAGTCTTAGAGTGATGAATGCCCATTAGAGGAGTCATACATTGGATAGGAATGCTTTGGCTCCATTAAACACATTGTGCTCAGTCATCGGCTGAGAGTAACTCAGACAGAGCTGCAATAAATGTATGGTGTATCCTGAACTTGCAGCAGCTGGAAATTGAAAGCTCTCTCTCTTTCATTGCAGTAAATTCTTTCTTAAAAGACATCTAGGCAGCACATTCTCATTACTGCCACAATATGAATCAGAGAATTATATCTCATAATAGCATGTTAATTATTAAAGGCTTGTATCCATTCAAAAATGAAGTTTCCCTTGACAAGTATTTACCTTAAAGAGTGTATTCATGGCCAGGTGCAGTGGCTCATGCCTGTAATCCCAGCACTTTGGGAGGTTGAGGCAGGTGGATCACAAGGTCAGGAGATCGAGACCATCCTGGCTAACACGGGAAACCCCATCTCTACTAAAAATATAAAAAATTAGCCAGGCATGGTGGCAAGCACCTGTAGTCCCAGCTACTCGGGAGGCTGAGGCAGGAGAATGGTGTGACCCTGGGAAGTGGAGCTTGCAGTGAGCCGAGATCGTGCCACTGCACTCCAGCCTGGGTGACAGAGCCAGACTCCGTCTCAAAAAAAAAAGAGTGTTTTCAATATATAAATTCATATAACAAATTACCCCAAAATGTATTAGTTTAATGACAACCATGTTATTTACTTTCAATACTGTGGCTTAGTAAATTTGACTGGGCTCAGCTGGGTGGCTTTCTGTTGATCTTACTTGGGACAACCATATGCCTGCAGTTACTTGATGGCTCAAGTGGAGCTCTATGGTCTATGGTGCCTCACACTACTATCTGGGTCATCTTTCTCTTGTAATACCTGGCTTCTCTAAAAGGCCTTTTAAGTAATCAAGCTGTAATCAGCAAATGCTCTTCAAGTTTCTTCTTGTTTTACATTTGCTGATGTTTCACTAACCAAAGTAAGACACATGGACAAAGCCCAGAGTCAATAAAGGCAAACTATACTTGTGCAGGAATACAGAAAAGCAAGATCCACTGGGGGCCACTACTGTGACAATCCACCACAGTTACTGTATCTTAGAATTAAAAAAAGGAAAAGCAAACATGTTTAATTTTTGCATTGTAGTAATTAAAAATATTATGCTTTTATTGGCCAGAAAGGTTTACTTTTAACATAAGAATTTAGAAATATTGGCAATATCTTATCCTGTAATTCCAGGTATTAACCTATTGCTGATATTATATTATTTGCCCTTAAATGAACAAAGTTCCTATGTTTCTAAGCATATCACTATAAAAATGTGTCAAAACAAGGACAAAAGATTGAGTAGAAGGAGCAAAAGAAAAAATCAACAGAGTAGACAGACAACCTGCAGGATGGGGGGAAATATTTGAAACCTATGCATCTGACAGAGGACGGATATTTAGAATTCACAAGGAACTAAAACAACTCAAAAACCAACAAATAGCCCCATTAAAATGTGGGGAAAAGACATAAATAGATTTTTTCAAAAGAAGACATACAAATGGCCAACAAGCATCCTAAAAAATTGCTCAACATTACTAATCACTAGAGAAATGCAAATTAAAACCACAACGAGATACTGTCTTACATCAGTCAGAATGATTATTTTAAAAAGTCAAAATATAACAGATGTTGGAGGGGACATGGAGAAAAGGGAACACTTACACACTGCTCGTGGGAATGTAAATTAGTACAGCCTCCATGGAAAACAATATGGAGATTTCTCAAAGAACTAAAAATAGAACTACCCTTCAATCCAGCAATGCCACTACTAGGTATCTACCTAAAAAAAAAAAATTATATTAAAAAGATACCTGCACTTGTATGTTTATTGCAGCACTATTCACAATAGCAAAGAGATGGAATTAAGTATCCATCAACAAACAACTGAATAAAGAAACTGTAGTATAAATGTATACACCATGGAATACTATTGAGCCATAAAAAATACAAAATCATCTATTTTGCAGCAACATGGATGGAACTGATGACCATTATCTTAAGTGAAACAAATCGGAACCAGAAAGTCAAATACCACATGTTCTCACATACAAGTGGGAGCTACATAACATGTACACATGAACATAGAGTCTGGACTGATAGTCACTGGATACTGGGAAGGGTGGGAGGGTGGAAGGGGGTGGGGGAAGACAAATGACTTAATGAGTCCAATGTACGCTATTCAGGTGACGGCTACACTCCAAGTCCAGACTTCACCACTTTGCAATATGCCCACATAACAAGATTGCACTTGTACCCCATATATTTATACAAATTTAAAACAAAAAGATTGAGTGAAAGAGACTCAGTTAAGCTTCCTCAGAGAAGCTTCCCCATATTCATTAACACTTTTAAACAGAAGGTATCTATTTTTAAATGTTAATTTCTGGATGTGAGTCTAACCTGCTGACCTTAGCTTATATTTTGAACCCCTATCCATCATTCAAATATCCACTGAAATTACTAAAGGATTACATTGCGGGAGAAATCACATCTCTAAGAAACTAGGGAAAGATATATCTTTATGCCTGAAAAATCATTGAATTTAACAAAGACATAATGTAGGTGAACCCATGATACACTGCTTAGAAAGGAAGAGTCATCCTTAGGAACCATGGAAGGAACCACATGGACTCACCAAAGCCCCCTCCTGTAGAATTCTAGACACTGGATAGTGGATAGACACATGGACGTTACCAGAAAGTAAATCTTGACCTTTTCATAATTTCTAAGATACATGCAATGGATGGAGACCACATAGCTGATCGTTTTAATGCAGAACAAAAATGATGAACTGGAAGTGATAGTTTGCTACCTAAGGAAAGTGCACTGAAAACAAATTGACTCCAAATGAGTACATGTAAGTTAGATAAAGGGCTTAAGAATGAGAGGGAGGAGGGAGGTGTTGGTGTATCTTTTGACTCTGATTCCTTTCGAGGGAAATTGTGAGTCTCTTGTATACAAGAACTTTATGAAAGTCTCTTCTAATTTTAACATGCCTGCTGGTAATATTGGGTACATGTTATTACATCTCTCACTTAAATGTTTGCCGAAGTAGTGAGGTAACTCAGAGAGAAAACATTTCATTCTCTTGTTTAGTTTTTCTAGCTTGCTTCTCACTTCTTCTTAATAAATTTGAACAATCCTGGTTTTTAGTATACACATATCATATTTTAGAAAGAAAGGTGATCTTCAAAATTATCCTCACAATAGCCAAGAGGGATATAATATTTATGAATTTTGCTTTGTAAAATTGAAGTATCACAAAGCATAAAATACAATTTTTTAAGTTATTTTCAAATATTTATTATTAAATATTTAATATTACTTTTAATAATAATATTAAAAATACTGCCTATTAGAAATGGCTCTATAGAACAAGAATAATTGCCAATGTTGTATCAACAAATCTAATTCACACTTTCACGTAATACCTAGAAAATAACCTGTTTTACTCTCTTTCCTTGCCTTGCCCACTTGCTGTTGTTGTTGGTGGTAGTTTGTTTGCTTATTTTTAACATCCCTTTCTTATTTCTCATGCTTTCAGAAACAAATAATTTTTAAAATATTCAAATCATCATTTGAATATTCATTTGACTATTTTTAAGCAACATATGGCCTGAGCTCAGAGACTATTTCTCTACCAAATCATTCTGTTCTAAATGATTTGCATGTAGTATCTCATGTATCTCAACAATACTCCAAAATAAAAGTATTATCCCTATTGTGTAGATGAAAGCATTTCTGGACATGTTCACAATGCCAGTGAAAAAAAGAGTAAGGATTTGAGGCCGAAATTCTCTAACCACATTATTCCATAAACCACAAAATCAGACACAGAGTCAATTAGTTACAGATCTTCCCAATTTAAAGCTATCATCACAATTTTAGATGTTGACACAACAGATTCCACTATTTCCTCTACATAAAGCTGCCACAAAAATCCCAACTCATGAGAAAATGAGATTTGAGGAAGAAACACATTATATTTCTATAATCCATACAGTTCCTGTGGGTTTAATTTCTCCCTGCCCCTCATTTTCCCCTTCTGGATTGACCACAACCACAAAGTTATATAGTATTTAATATAGAGCTCAGGCACTATGGAGAAGCCTAAGGTGATTCTAAGCATTCTAAAGTCGGCTGGCATCACTGTGAAAAATTGATTTGGGGAGGGTGGATAAAAGCCCTAAACACTGTGCTGGAATGACTGAGAAATAACCAACTGTTTCACAAACTCCTCCAGCCAAACTGTGAGCTGCTGGTCCACCATCATCTGCACCTGTGGACTAGGAGTGATTGGTTCCCAGAGAGCAACAAAAATGCCAACTTTGTAATTTCTAGGTTTAAAACATGCCACTGGATATACAACAGAACATACCAGCAAAGGAATGCAAAGGTAGAGAGAGCAACCTGCTGTGTCCACCTGAGGTTACTGTGGTGTGGAGCCAGGGGGCTTTGCAGCAGGGACTGCAGGTGGACAAGCAGGGAATAAGAAAAGAATGTTGGAGAGACTTCTGCCTGAGCCCACAGCAAGGAAATTGGATTGACTTGTACGAATTGCCCTTTGCCTACCCAGGCTTGTTACTATGAACATGTATCATATGACAAGCCATATGATAAAATTTAAGAAAAAATATATCCAATGTAACAAATATTGTGGAAAAAAATGAAAACCCAAGCCATCAACATTTGAGCACCTTCCCAGCCCATTGCTGAATTACCAATGGATGCCCTTGTGCCTATGTCCTCATTTGTAGAAGAGACACTTCTAACCTTATCCTACTCCCAGACACAATGTGGCAATTCAATTATGCAGACTGAACCACACAGAAGTCAAGCTTCTCTTCCTTCTGGCAGTTTTTCTTCTATTTTCTCAGAACCTTAAAGATGAGAGTGAAAAAAAAAATGAGATACGGGTCATGCATAATCATTTTATCTTCCTAGGGGTTGTCCTAAGTATGTACTCATCATAAGTCATAATATAATGAGATCATCTCTGGAACTTTCTATCTAAGGATGATGAAAAATGTAACAAAGTCACAGGCTTATTAAAATAATTATTAATTCTATCTGGGGCAAATTATGCACCTTTGGGGTATAAACTAGGGAATTCATCAAAAGTACTCATAGTCTATTTTCCTTAGAAGGATATAGAAATAGACACTTCTCTCTCTTTAAGAATATCAACTACCCAAGAGCCATTTGCATAACTTCATTGTTTACACAGTCAGCACACACTTCCTGAGCAGCCACGTATCTCAGAGGCTGCTCCAGGCATAGCAGAAAAGAAATCAGGAATCAAAACGCAAAGTCCTGTCATCATGATAGAAAATAAACAAAATAAATAGGTAAAATATAGAGTATTTTAGTATATAAGTGACATGAAGAAAAATTAAGTACAAAAAAAGTGGGAGGATTGGGTCACAATTTTAAATAAGTACCCTCAGAAGGTTCCACCTGGGTGAAACAGGAAGGCAGGAACAAGGATGTCTGGGGAGAAGGCTGTTCCACACAGAGGGAACTGCAAATGCAAAGGCTCAGAGGCAGTGGCTTTCCATGTGTTGTCTGCAGCAGCCCCTTGCAGTCCTGCTCCGGCAGTGGGGCACGCCTGGCTTCCCACCTCATCAGGTCCACCCTCTCATGCTCCATGCTCTTCTCTGATCCACCATCTTCTCTGTCTAGACCCTTCTTTTTTCCCAAATACTTGCCACTATTAGCTCACACAGGCTGGGAAAGTCTCCCTCCTGTCCCTGCCCCAGCCACCAAGATGTCCTCCCTGGGAGAAACCAGTGTTATAAAGGTGACGGGAGTGTCCTTCAACAGATATTTTGTCCACACTTGAGGTTATGCGTATAAATATTTCCTCCTATTTTACACAAATAGAATCATTTTGTACAAACTGTTCTGTTTGTTGCTTTTGTTAAGAAGCTATGTTTTAGAGTTTTAATTTTACTAAAACTTATTTAACAGAAAGTTGCAGGTTCTTTTATACAGAAACTGCGTTTTTTAAACGTAATCATTCTTGGTCCCATTTCTGTAACTTTTACTGTATGCCTATATAATGTGTATAAGCTTAAACCATAATACTGAAATTAAAGTCACATCACATTGTTGTTGTTTTGCTGCTGTTTTAAATAAAATTAAAACCTCACTAGGGTTAGAAAATTGTTCAATCCTAATCATGTTTGGCAAGGGGAGGTTCCTTCCTTTCCCTGGCATTGCCTGAGAACCCTAGAGGATTACAGATGTGAAGGTTGTGGGAGGCTTTGCCTTGTGTCCACGGTGATGGGCATTGTGCTGCATACATAGTTGTTAGCAGCACCTGGCATCCTACCTTCCTTGGTCCTGGGCACTCAGCCTTTCAACTGCAGATCCCTTCCCCGGTGATGAGAATTTAGGGAATTTAGAGCCATAGGCATCCCCAAACTCATTCAACCCCTTAAGCAAGAGTGCTGTAGGCAAGAGGGACATGGTTTATTTTTTTAAACCATTATTATTTTTACCACTCTTTCGACAAAAACACCAAAAGCCAGGTTTGTTTATCTTGTCACTTCACGTTCTACAGCCCTGGAGCCTTCACCTTTCTTGGATCATCCTTGCTAATGTCCCTCAGTGGGAATAAAACACATAGTGTTTCCTAACTTGCCTCCCACACTGCACAGTCCTCCCCGCATGTGTCAGAAGTCTCCAGAAGTAATTCAATAACACGGAAGCTTAGGCTGTTCTGTTATTTCCAATATCACAAAGGAAACCAGCAAGAAGCCATTTTTCTATACGTCCTATTAAGTAGAAGCTTTAGGTGGTAGAATAATCATAATCTAGGTTAAGCCTTGGACCTCAGTCATGCTTCACACTGTGTCTGCCTTCTGCTGACTCTATTGTGTTATGTTTCAAAGGTTCTGAATAGATTGTTCCAGAGTCTCTGGAGTTAAAAAAATTAAATCATGGACTCCTGAGGTCTCAGGTTTTGATTTTCTTTGAGCACAGCATGCATCTGCCCCGCAGTATTCAAGATTCCTGCCCTATCACAACACCCTCAAGAAGCAGCCAGAACAGCAAAGTTGTTCAGCAATTTCCTTAAACTTTAGAAGGATTTGTCTGAAATGGGAAAACATATCACCTATGAAAAAAGTTATTTCTATTTTTGACAAGAAGTTTTCCAATTTATTTTAAATGTATAACAGTATTTCTGTATTGTTTTAAATTAACTTTAGCGGAACATAATTGTAGTAATTTGGATAATGACCCCCGGGCTAAAAGTTCTGAATGCCTGGGTCCTGTCAATATTGGCTTATATGTCAAAGACTTTGCAAATATGTCGGTGATCTTGACATCGGAAGATGATCCTGGATTATCCAGTTGAGGCTTAAATGTAGTCACAGGTATCCTTACCTGTCAGACGGAGATTTGATCACACATAAAAAGAAATGTAAAAATAGAACAGAGAGAGATTTTTAAATGCTGGCCTCGAAGACTGGAGTGATATGACTGCAAGTCAAAGAATGCCATGGCCACCAGAAGCTAGAAGGAGCTAGAAACAGACTGTTTCCCAAAGCAGGGATCCCCAAACCCTGGGCCAGGAAACAGTACCAATCCCTGGCCTTTTAGGAACAAGGCTGCACAGCAGGAGGTGAGTGGTGGGCGAGTGAGTGAAGCTTCATCTGTATTTACAGCAGCTCCCCGTTGCTCGCATAGCTGCCTGAGCTCCACCTCCTATCAGATCAGCAGCAGCATTAGATTCTCATAGCACGAACCTGATTGTGAACTGTGCATGCAAGGGATCTAGGTTTCAAGCTCCTTATGAGAATCTAATGCCTGATGATCTGTCACCGTCTCCCATCACCCCCAGATGGGACTGTCTACTTGCAGGAAAACAAGCTCAGGGCTCCCACTGATTCTACATTATAATGAGTTATAATTATTTCATTATATATTACACTGCAAAAATAATACAAATAAAGTGCACAGTAAATGTAATGTGCTTGAATCATCCTGAAACCACTCCCCACCCCCAACCGCTGGTCCCTGGAAAAACTGTCTTTCTCAAAACCAGTCCCTGGTGCCAAAAATTGTTGGGGACTGCTGCCCTAAAGCCTCTACAGGGAGTATGGCCCTTCTGATACTTTGATTTTGGCTCAGTGATGCTGATTTTGTACTTCCATTCTCCACATATGTGAGAAAATAAAATTCTCTTTGTTTTGGCCACCAAGTTTGTGATTATTTGTTATAGCAACCAAAGGAAACTAATAAAATAATTAAGTACCATTTTAAAAAAAGGAATGCTTCAAAATATAGTCTTTTGGCTGGGCACAGTAGCTCACACCTGTAATCCCAGCACTTTGGGAGGCCAAGACAGGTGAATCACCTGAGGTCAGGAGTTCGAGACCAGCCTGGCCAACATGGTAAAACCCCATCTCTATGAAAAATAGAAAAATTAGCTGGGTGTGGTGGCAGGGGCCTGTAATCCCAGCTACTTGCGGGGCTGAAGCAGGAGAATCACTTTAACCTGGGAGGCAGAGGTTGCAGTGAGCCAAGATTGTGCCATTGCACTCCAGCCTGGGCAACAAGAGCCAAACTCTATCTCAAAAACAAACAAATAAAATGTAGTCTTTTGAAGGTGCAAAGTTAAAGACAAGGAGAAAAAATTACAGCTAAAGAAAAATTATGCTTTTCAACATTCTAGTTCTTTTTTGCCCTAATTATGTCCCAGAGAAGCTTTCCTGTATTAGGAACTAACACTTGTTGAGTGCTTACTCTGTGCTAAGTCCCATACAAGTTGCTTAGCATACATTACTCTACTTAATTTACAACAACACTATCCGGCACACAATTATGTTCATTTTGCTTGGAAGGAAACAAGCTTTGATTGAGGGTAAATGCATTGCTCTGGTCACACAGCTGTTGGTGGCATTTCCTGAAGACCATTGTAGGGAACTGGTATCAAAGCATATATTACTATGCTGTGAAAGGAAAATATCTTGGGCCCCCAAAATCACTAAGCTAAAGGGAGAATTCAAGCTGGGAACTGTTTAGGACAAACCTGCCTCCCATTCTATTCAAAGTTGTCCCTCTGCTCATTGAGATAAATGTATACCTGATTGCCTCCCATGGAAAAGCTAATCAGAAATTCAAAAGAATGCAAACATTTGCCCCTCAGCTCCCTGTGAACTGGAAGCACCCTCCCTGCTTTGAGTTGTCCCACCTTTCCAGACTGAACCAATGTTCATTTTACGTATGTTGATTGATGTTTCATGTCTCCCTAAAATGTATAAAACCACGCTGTGCTCTGACCACCCTGGGCACATGTCATCAGGACCTCCTGAGGCTGTGTGTCATGGGCATGTGTCCTCAGCCTTGGCAAATAAACTTTCTAAATTAACTGAGACCTGTCTCAGATCTTGGGGGTTTACATTTTGGTAACTATGAAGGGATTCTGAGTGGAGATGCTGTTGACCTTTGAAAAATCACCTATTGGTACTTGGTACCAGGATGAGCTAACTTTATGGCTCAAACCAATAGGACAATTTGCTGAATTCTGGGAGCACCCCTGCCAGAGAATCTCTAATCTCCCCAAATTTAGTCAAGATCTAAAGGCTCTTGCTGTACAACTCCTCTTTCTTTTGAAGTTTTACTTGCTTCCAACAAGGAAGACATGATTTCCTGTTTCCATGATGATGGAAGGCAGGTAACTCCTTTATGAAGTTTGAGCTTGCTCCCAGCAGGGAAGAGCAGTTTGACTCTTTTCCTCCTTTCAGGATGATAGAAAGCAGTCTTCAGCCTGAGACCCATTCCTAGGTAAGTAGCTGAATTGGTGTTTTGTCTTGGCTAACACTTAACAACCAGATGGTCCTAATTTCTCTTTACCACTGGAGTGCTCAGTGATCATGTTGTTGGGGTTTTTGTCATTCTTGTGTGTTTTGTCTTTCTCCCATCAGATTTGACCAACTCTACCTGACTTAGTCAAATCTGAGTGAGAATTCTAAATTAAGGTACCAAAACCTCTCTAAACTGGCCAAAATTCCTCATAGCTGCAAAAGAAGAAACCGAAAGAAAAATATCAAAAAACCATGTGCTTGGTTTCTGTGTTTGCTTCCTGTATTAAAAACAAAAAGTTCTTTAATTTACTTTTCTTCCACCCTATATCTCCTTCTCCCTTTGCCATCTGCAGTACCAAAAAAATATCTAGAGAAGGTGTCTAATGACTTGAACCCCTTTAAAGAATTCAGAAGGGCACCACTCTCCTATTTTGGATGTTTCTTTGTGGAGTTCCAAGAGCCATGGACAGAATCTTCTTAGGTATAAAGCTCTGTTTTCTTGTGTTGCATGACCTGATCTTTTTGGCTTTGGGGGTACCAGAGATGTCCTTGCGCTGTGAGAGGATTTGACCTTGGTGTGTATAATGGCGGATGAGAGCTACAAAGTTATGAGTGGCCTAGTGCAATTTACAAGAAGTGGTCTAGGCTATTTTTTTTTCTTTTTTTCTCTTTTAGGAAGTTGTTGTTTAAGGATCCAAATTTTAGTTCAGAGACACATTCTAAAGAGTCTTCTGTATTGCTTTTTTTCCCAAAATTGATCTCAATTCAGTTTGTCTGTGCACATTTGCGTGAGGAACTGAACTGTTGTTTTCATAGGTAAATGAGAGACTGAGTTTTCTCATCTCTGAAGGGAAAGGACATCTGCTCCTACCAGCTGAAAGGTGCCCCTGGGTGAACAGGGGCCTTGTGGGAGTGTTTGGGGCATTGACCCCCAACAACATGCAGTGGCCCTGCAGATAAATCATCAACAAAAATTAATTTAAAAAATGGCTCATCCAGAAAACGCATGCAAGGGCTGATCACCCAGTGTTTTGAGCCCTCTCAGAGGTCATAGGCCTCTGGAGAGAGAAATGACACACATAAGAGGGTGGGAACAACTCAGTGGTGACAGACTGTGGAGTCCTGCCCACAAGCAGCACACATCAATCCACCACACAAAAACCCTAGGCCACAGCTCAGTTCCTCCTTTATGAACAAAACAAAACAAAACAAAACAAAACAAAACAAAAGCAGGAAACAAATAAACTAAGAATGTGGAGAAAACAAGGAGAATGACCCCTTTTTGAGCCACTCCAAAGGTTTTAAGGCACCTCTACTTGCCAGAGTAAAACGGGAGTCATATGGTCTTCATGCACATTTACATTAAGGAGAAAGAGCCCTAAGGTCGACCTGCAAACTCTAGAGTTCCCAGAGTCCCTGTTTTTCTATTTTCTTTTTTGCCTGCTTTGTATCTGCTGTTAGTTTTCTACTGAGATAAAAACCACTGTTTGGATGTAACCATTTTTTGTTTGTTTGCAAGCCAGCAAATTTGTATTTATATCATGGCTAAAGTACTGAAGTAAAAGCTATAGAACCTTGGTGTGTGTATGTGTGTATGTACATGCATGTGTGTATATATTTGAAGGCCTTTATAATAAACTTCTAAACTTTTATGTTCAATTGAAAATTTAGCTGACAACTGCCTAGGGTAAGACTTAAAAAGAAGAAGGCTGGGCATGGTGGCTCATGTCTGTAATGACAGCACTTTGGGAGGCCGAGGTGGGTGGATTGCTTGAGGTCAGGAGTTTGAGACCAGCCCGGCCAACATGGTGAAACCCCAACTCTATTAAAAATACAAAAATTACCCAGGTGTAGTGGCACATGCCTGTAATCCCAGCTACTCAGGAGGCTGAGATAAGAGAATTGTTTGAACCCAGGAGGTGGAGGTTGCCATGAGCCAAGATTGCAAGCATTGTACTGCAGCCTGGGTGAGAAAGTGAGACTCCATCTCAAAAAAAAAAAAAGAAAAAAAAAAGAAGGAAAAAAAGAAGGTCTTTATTAATCTATAAGATACACTTTTATTGACAGGCCTACATCTACATATTTATGTGTTGTGTACACAATGTTTCACTATTAAAAAGTACATAAAAGAGCTCTAACTAGTTGGCTTAAAAAATAAATAAAAGTGCTTAAATCAGATACTACTAAAGAGAAAAAACTAGTCAAATGCTTTTTCAAGCTCATGTGACTTAAAATCTTTAATAAATAAGCTGGCTTTAAAATTATTACTAAAATAACATTAGAAATGTCTTAAGAATTTGCCAGCATACATTTTTGTTTGCATTCATTAATCAAGAAATTTTACACTTATCCCTTCCAAATGCTATAAGGTGTCAAAACTGGGCACAGGGTTTACAAAACTATAAATCTAGCCCAAAGCAGAATGATCTTTGCTTGTGTAATCTTTAACAAATAGGACATTGATATTAGTTTAATAAAAATAGCTGCATCTTAAATTTAGTAAGATTATCATAACTTCTAATCTTGTGACTTTAGGTGATCTAGCCCACAGGCAGTAAGATTTGTTAATGTCTTTGTTTCAAAACTAAACTATAAACTAAGTTGTTCTCAAAGTTAGTTCAGCCTATGCCCAGGAATGAACAAGGGCAGCTTGGAGCTTAAACGCAAGATTGAAGTCAGTTAAGTCAAATCTTTTTCACTGTCTCAGTTATAATTTTGCAATGGTGGTTTCATAACTTTAAAAGATGACTATCTCAGTTTTCATAAATAATCTAAGTAAATGATTAAAACAAAATAATTAGGTAAGTGTATAGGATGAATACTTGTAGACAAACTCTTCATAATTTAGAATCTAAAGTTATATTAAATTAAATAATAGATATTTCATTATTTGGGTATATTTCCAATAAAAATACATTTGTAAGAAAACATTTTTTCTTAAAAAAAGTGTGTCCTTTTAAAAAAGGTGAAAGATTTTTTTCTATTTCAAGGTTTATTCAAAGGTCATGTATAAAACAAGGTAAAAGGAACAAGGAAATAAAAGAAATGTTGTGGGGGCCATGACTGGGAGGCCTCCCCAGCTACGTGGGATGGTGGGTCCATTAAAACTCTTTTTCTCTATAAATCACCTAGTCTCAGGTACATCTTGATCAATAGTATGAAAACATACTAATACAGATATAAAGAATGTTATAACAACAAAAGCTTAAAGAGAAATAATTTCATATGAGAAAAAAATCTTATTTGGTAAATTTAGTCCTAGAATAAAATGACTGGTTGTTTAAGAAAGGAGGATTTCAGGAAAAAACAGAAAGTCCAAGCATGTCATGAATGGTCTGTGTAAGTCACAATAAGAGGATTCATTAAAAAAACAAAAACTATTTTATGATCAAGTTTTCATATTTTTATTAAGCTTTGTTTTGCTTAGAAAAAAACTGAGATTAAAATTTTATTTTTTAAATTAAAGTTATTACATCCATGTATCTCTCTGTATGCACTTTAAAAGTACTTATTACATTAAGTTACAGGGTTTTGACTCCTGGGTCTAAAAAGAACACCAAGTCCTGCTAAATGTTAAACAATGACAGCAATTAAAACCCCATCTTTAGGCCAAGTAGAAGATGCCTATCAAAATAAACTGCATTCCTGAAACACAGGGCCAGAAATTAAAGCTATTCAACTCCCCAAGGCCCAGGGACTAGCATGGAAGAGGTGGGTGTGTGAGATTATAAGGGCTGATTTTGAGAGATAAAATAAGTTCAGTTTCTCTATAAATTAATCATTAATGTCAAAGGTACATTCATGCAAGACCAGCGTAGGGACCTGTGTCAGATTAACAAGGTTTTCTTGAAGCATTAACTGACCCTTAAAAAAAGGCTATAAGGGTTATGAAAAGCTTATGAAAGTTATATTTTATGGTCTAGATAAAAATTTATAGAATATATACAAAATTTTGAAAAACAAATTTAATTGTCTTTATACTGTTTTTATTAGAGCTTATTGATTGGAAAATTAAGTCTTCTCTCGCAAAAAAATGAAGGTTTTTCACCTTTTCTTCTAAAATCCTTGAGCTATCACTTTGGTCAAATGAATGACTTATTTTACAATGACCTGTGATATCAAGTGTTTTAAAACTTTGATATTTGACAAAGTTTCCAAAATCAAATTACAAATTATGTCTTTTTCTTATCTAATTAATCCTTTAAGATATTAGGTTCCCTAAAGTCCAAAAATGACATAATTTGGCTTACTTGGTATAAAAATTATACAGGAAACATTGTCACATATGAAATGGTGTTTGGTTTTCTTTAGGCTGTATTTGTGTAAATACATTATTGGTACATGTTCCAAAATCATGGGCAACTCCTATAATTCTGATATGACTTAGTGTACATTATCAGTAATAATTATAATTGTTTAATTATTGTGTATCACAGAGGTAACCAATTTTCTTGTTAATTGGGTATTTGACTATGGCTGTCCTCAAACATTTTGTCATCCACAGACAATCGTTGTCTTGTTTTAGTCCTCCATAGAAGGTGGTTTTGTAATCTAATATGGAACTCTAACAGGTGTTCTTAAATGCAGGTTTCTGATAACTTTGGAGATTGTGATATTAGAATAGAGAAAAAAACATTCACGACTCTCGCGGAGAGCTAAAATGTTCATGAATGTCAAGCAAAACAGGAGTTAACTGCATGAACTGAACTAATAGAAGACTAAAGTAATCTTTTTAACTTTTAGCTTAAAAAATTGCGATCCTTTGTTTTGTTTTTCGGAGTCAAGAAGACTTTTCTTTTAAGCTATTTACACCTTTTAACAATTGAGTAAAGTATACTCCTATAAACAAATTTTAGAGCATATGTATTTCTCTCTACCTGATTTCTCCAGAATTTGGAAACTATTTGTGAGTATTCTTAACTTATGACAATACAGTTATTTACATAAGTGCATAAGAATCTCTTTTCATTTATTACAGGACACAACTGGAGAAGCTGGCTATTTTGCCAAGGCTTTGACTGGAATGGTGTGCTTTCCTTTAAGGAATCAAACTTGACTTAAGAAGTCAATAAAAGCCCCTTAAAAAACTAGCCTCCTACCTTTGTCTACACAGCCCCTGTACAGGGCTCCTGACCTCTGGTAGGTAAAGAATGTCACTTTCTGAGAGGCCCAGGAGCCTCAAGTTTATCTTGGAACCTCAAGAGGAGAGGATCACCCAACTCATACGTATTTGATGGCACAAATTCATGGCTGGGTTAGGCTTTAAAAAAGTCTTATCTGAGATTCGTTCTATGGAACAAAGTTTCATCAAAGCCAACTTAAAAGCCTATGTAGATATATAACTATTCTTGCTTTACTGTATACAAATAATTAGGCCAAGTGTAATAAAACAAACCAGTCCTACCATGATTTTTCTTTAGTAAAAATGGGACTCTGGAGAGAGAAAAAATGTTTCCAAAACTATATAGTACACTTGTTGTTAGATTCCAGTCTTGCCTAATGCTTTTTAATTTTTATTATGTTCTACTGTTTGGACCTGATTCTAATTTTTCTTGGCTACAAGCCTTAAAAATAATGTTTTCAATTCTTTTCCTTCTTTTTTCTCATTTTTTTTTTTCTTATTTAGAGTCGCTGAAAACTATGCTGTGCCTTCATAAAGCCCTGTGAGCTGAAGCAAGACAACTGAAACTTCAGAATATAACAGCAACCTATTTACATAAATAAGCCACTTTCATACCTGCCTACTAATGTATGGACTTCAGAGTAATGGGGCCTATATCAATTTTCCAGGATTGTTCTTTTGTTTATTGTGTTTTTCTTTCTTCCTCCCGCTATTTTCTCTTCACTGGATGTGAGACTTCACAACCTTTTTAAAAATAAGATTTCCTAATAACTTGGGACCTACCTGTCTAGGAATAAAGCATCCTAGCCATGAGAGAGCAGACAAAACCTGGGACCAGAGATTTGTTTTCTTCTAAAATGCTTTCTCCGAAATATTTTTAAAAAGAAAAGGGGAGAAATGTGAAAGGAAAATATCTTGGTCCCCCAGAATCACTAAGCTAAAGAGAAAATTCAAGCTGGGAACTGTTAGGGCAAACCTGCCTCCCATTCTATTCAAAGTCATCCCTCTTTTGAGATAAATGCATATCTGATTGCCTCCTTTGGAAAGGCTAATAAGAAACTCAAAAGAATGCAACCATTTGTCTCTTACCTACCTGTGACCTGGAAGCCCCTGTCTGCTTCAAGTTGTCCTGCTTTTGCTTCAAGTTGTTCTAGCTTTCTGGACAGAACCAATGTTCATTTTACCTATGTTAATTGATGTCTCATATCTCCCTAAAATGTATAAAACCAAGCTGTGTTCTGACCACTTTGGGCACATGTCATCAGGACCTCCTGAGGCTGTGTCATGGGTATGCGTCCACAACCTTGGCACAATAAACTTTCTAAATTAACTGAGACAAGTGTCAGATTTTCAGTGTTCACAATGCACAGAGTGGCTTTTTTATGGTAATGTTTTATAACAACACAAACGTACTTTGTCTTAGAGCCACTTCACATGCTAAGACTTTATAAAATGCCATACTGAAGAGATCTCTTTAGTTTGTCTCTTTTGATATCCAAGAGTGGTTTTTGTATAAAGCTGTTTTATTACATAATATTAACCTCAAAAAGCTGGGAATGAGAAAAAAATAATGAATACAAATTAAGTGTGGAGGACCTATGTGTACTGGACTAAGTATTTTGGAGGGACATTTAAAAAGACTTGAAGAAGAAACAAACCAGATTTCTTATGGAAAGAAAAACATTGCAAATATGTGGCTTTTTCAGAGGTAACTTACACTGATAAAGCAACACTATTTAAAAATACGATGAAGTACTTTTTGACAAACTACAAGATGATTTGAAAATTTAACTTGAAAAATAAATTAAGATGAATAACTGAGAAAATTTTGTAAAATATCAATAAGAATTTTCACAGATAATAAAAATATTAAAATTTTACAAGTGAAAGATAATTATTGGTGTTTGAATAGACAGAAAATTGAAACAGAAAACAAAGTCCAAAAGTGCACCCAAGCACATATAACAATTTAGCTGATAATAAAGTTGTCAAATGAGTTTAAAAAAAGATGAATTATATAGTAAATAATCCTAGAATAATTAGTAAATATTGTTTCACAACCAGTCACACACATTAGTCTTCTTATTACTCAAATTTGCCAAGCATTTTATGCATAAATTTGCTTTTCTGTTTTCCCAGAATGCCATGCCAATGCACATGGCTGCCTCATTCTTTTCCTTTTTTCTTTTTTGAGACAGGGTCTAACTCTGTTGCAAGAGCAGTGTCACAATCACGGCTCACTGCAGTCTCCACCTCCCCGGCTGAAGCAGCAATCTTCCTACCTCAGCCTCCCGAGTAGCTGGGACTACAGGCATGTGCCACCATGCCTGGGTAATTTTTAATTTTTTGCAGAGATGGGGTCTTGCTATGTTGCCCAGACTGGGCTCAAAGTCCTGGATACAAGCTATCCACCCACTTCACCCTCCCAAAGTGCTGGGATTACAGGTGTGAGCCACCACACCTGGCCATGGCTGCCTCATTCTTATCTTTAATTCAAATGTCAACTCTTCAGCACTTCTGCTTACTACCCAATTCCCCCACACCACTATGACCAAGTCAGCCTCTTTTCCTTTTATCTGTTTTTCGTTATAGCTATTATTACTATTAGAATTTTTATTGCTTGCTTCACTAACTAAAATGCCTGACATACAAAAGCTGGTCAATAGATATTTGGTTAAGGAATAAACTAATATTGTGGAGCAAAGACAATTTTTAAAAAATTTCTAAACATCTCAAAATTTTATGCCAAATATCGTAACAATTAAGAAAAGATAAGAGTGAAAAAACATTTACAAACATAGGAAATTAGCTATAGGTTTAAACTTATAATTAAAAATTATTAGCTTCCCGATAGAAGAATTGTGAAAGGGAAAAGTGGGTAATTCACAAAGGAGTGAAAACAAATATCTATAAAAATACAGACAAAATTAGACAACTAATAAAAGAAATGAATATTAGAACAAGAAAATATTTCTACTTGCCTTTGCCAAATTGACAATGACTCTGTAAATTATTTTTATCAATTGTAGCCAATCAAATGGACAAATATTTCACATATATGTTATGTGTGCTTGATTAATTTCCTGTTGCTTATCAAGAAAAGAATTCCATTCATTCTTCCACCACATGTTTATTAAACACTTAAGTCTCAGAAGCACCATTTAAATGGTGGAAATTTAATAATGAAACTGAAAATGTCCCTGCACTAAACTATAGCATATATTATATGCTATATACATTGTATAGTGAGACTGACACTAAATAGATGAACATCAATCAGTGAGAAAATATGTTTACAGAGTAGTAAAATATTCAGAAGTGATAGAAAATGATGAGAGCAGCTACCTTAGATTGGATAGTGAAGAACAGCCTCTCTGAAGTGGCATTTAGGCTAAAGCTGAATGAAGAAATTGGCTGAAAGTGCAGCCTTGGAAAGATCAAAGTGAGGACCTTCCACTCAGAGACTGCTAATGCAGGGTACATGCATTATGGAAAAGCTTAGTGTATTAAGAACAAGAGAGCAAATGTGCATGATAGGTTGATTGATACTTAATGAAGTCAGATTATGCAGGATCCAGGTCACATAAGGTTGTCTACACCAGGGAAAGAATATTAGATACTAGATGAAATGAGATGAAATCAGGAGATTTTTAAGCAGGAGAATAATGTACTTAATTTATGCTTTTTAAAGATTACTGAGACTGCACAGTGGTGAACTGGAAAGTTACACAAGGATAATGAAATCAGCACAGCCAAGCGGGAGGATGCTGTAGAAATTCAAGGAGGTGATAATGACTTGTATTATTAGGGTGGTGCGCGGGGAAGTGTATAAAAGTAGATGCATTTGCAGTATTGCTTTGAAGGCAGTTGAGTGGGTGTAGTGATAGATTTATAGGGAAAGGAAGAAGCATTAAGAAAACACCTAGATTCTTGGCTCAAGAATTCCTCAGAGCAGAAAAGGATGGACCATCTGACTGGAGAATGGACAGGTGGGCAGAGAGCCCAGCAGATGCTAGTGTGAAGAAATATCTGTGCATGTGGACCAGGCCAGAAGCTGATGCACTTCAGATCCTGCCGGTGTGGACAGGTTAGGGGCTTCTTCCCCACTGCTGTGATGCTACTACCTAAGCCTATCAAATTAAGCCATCACTCCAGGGAGAAAGTGGATAGGGAAATCCATTGCTCCCAAAATTGAGGTTTACCCTGAGTTGATAAAAGCTACATTTTCTGCCATGAGGCATATGGAACCTTGAAGCAGAAACTGTATTATATAGACAATTCGGTTGGTGTTTTTAAAATGTCATGCTGTGTATGTACCAAGAGGAATATGTTCCTGCTAAGCTCCATTTATCACGTTTCCTCTGTGTGCCGAACTACGGTAACATATTTACATGTGTTAGTCACTTAGTCCTTACAAAAACAATCCAAGATTATCCCCATTTTTCAGATGAGAATCTTGAGTCTCAGAGGGGTTATGAGATTTATTACTCAGTTTGAAGTGAGAGGGCCAAGATTAAAATTCTGTCAGGACTGAATCAAAAGTCCACAGATTTTTGCATCTGCGGCCCACCTCCATGAACGATCTCTCATCACACCATCTCTTACTGAGGAAGTGACTCAACCTGAATCAGTGGAATGTGGTTATTTTCTTCTTATGTCCCTGGGACTAAGGGGCATTTCATTTCTAAAGCTAGGCGCTTTCTAGTAAGCAGGTATGCTCTTTTCCTGTAGAAGAGGAACGAGAAATTATTGTGCTCATAGTGATTTTAAAAGTTAGAGCAATGTAACTTCTAGTGCTGTTCTTCTTCACCTTTCTCTTCTCCTTTCCCATTTTTGTTCTCAGATGACAGCCTTGCCTTTTAGTTGATTGAATACAGTGAAGACATCAGACAGAAACCTCCACAAGTAGCTGCCACCATGTCAACTTGCCCACATGCCCTTGGACCCAGAATTTACCTTTTTCTGTTTGAGAAGAAATGTTTGGCTAAGGAAAGTTAGAGAAGGTATTGAATAGCGTCTGATTTGGACTGATTGGTGCGAGTGTATCTCTGTGTGGTGTGGTGTATGTGTTTGCATGTGTGTGTGTGGTAGATAGTATGTTCATGTGTGGTGTGTGGTAAATATGTGTGTTTGTGTGGTGTGGCACGTGGTGCTGTGTGGGGAGAGAAAGGGAATGGTTGACTACATGAAGAGCTCACTCGAGGTGAGTTACCATGAAATTCAAGTGATCCCAGCCTCTATGGTGGAGCACACTGTTCTAGTAGAGTTTGGCTGCACAACTGCATACAGTGTAGACAAAGAGTTGTATCTAACCAGGGCTATGGGTGAGTCGAGCAGGATGGGAAGAAAGGGAGCTGAGTATGAATTCAAAGTGTTCATTTGAAAACTTGACTCTGCATCACTTCCAGCCCTACCCCTACCTCATGTCCAGTACGACCCAATTTCCAGCTGTTCCTTTCTCCCTCTTGCCCAGTTCACTGCAGACACACTGGCCTCCAGGACTACTCCCAGCTCAGAGTCTTTGCACTCACTCTTCCCTTTGCCTGGATCTCTCTAGCCTCCTCCTTGTCCTCTTTCTTCAAGTTGTCACACAAATGTTACGTGCTGCTGTGGCCTTTCCTGGCCACTTTATAGAAAATCCACTCCATCTGACATCCCATGTCTGCTTTATTCTTTCCATTAGCCTCACCACCTGAGCATCAGTTTAATTTACTTGTCTTATTTATCTTGTTAATTGTTTATGTTGAATGTAAGCTCAATCAGAGTAGAGATATTTGTCTTTCTTTGACATAGTTCTTTACACTAGTTTCCCTTCTACATTCTGTCTTTGCTCTACATGGCTACTTAATAAAGCAATGATATTTGTTGAAGAAATGAGCAAATGAATGAATGGATAGATGGATAGAATTTTAGCTGAGTAAGGAGTAAGATATGATAGGGATGAGGGATGGTGAAACAGTGAAAGGCTTAAAGACTTGTAGGGCCCACTGGGGAGCTAGGAATTGCTGACATTGAGGTATCAGAGGGATAGAATGGGGAAAAATGGAGGGGATGATCATAGTATGGGATAAAGCTATAGGCAAGACAAGGTTTCCAAGGTATAATTATGGAAATAAGATATTGAGAAGTGAAAAGTATTAGCTCCTTAAAGGAGAGGAGGCCAAGGAGGACATATTTCCTAACTATTGAAATCACCAAGAACAGGCTTGGATTTGGAAGAATGACAGTGAGACAGGAACTAAATCTTCAGAGAATCAGGGGAGTGATCTTGAGTTAAGAGAGATTGTGATAAGGAGAGAAGGTGCCTGGTAAGCCTCATAACATGAGGTTATGAGTTTTAAGAAAGGGAGAGGATATGGTTTGGAAGTGGCCCTGTGAAGCAAAGAGAAAAAGGTATAGGAAAGAAGCACATGGCCTAGAGGGCTGTGGAGAAAGTTGAACCTGCAGTGTTGACTGAGGACTTCTCTCCAGCTGGGGAGGTTTTTTTGTTTGTTTTTTGTCCCCATCGTATAGAGAAATTTATATCAGAGGTAAGGTACAGATGGAGATGAACTAAGGAAAAAAGGGTTCAACATAAAACCCCAAACCTTAATAGTGCTTCAGGTCTCAGTTATGATTTAATTTTTAAATTAAACAAAATAAATATGTTTTGTGTATTTTCCACATTTCCAATAATAAACATATATTACTCTTTAATCAGAAGATGACCCAAAAAACATGATGTTTAAATTACCATTGAAGGCACGACCGTATATATTTAAAAAAAAAGTTACCATTGAGGCTTTATATCAAAGCATCCTTGTTGATCTTCAGCAAATGCAAATCATCCAGGGGTTTGTGACTCCACTTTGCTGCCCTGTGCAAGCTCTGCTGTGGCATTTCCAGATACCCACTTCCCTGCTATTCCTTTCACCACTATTTTCATGTGTACCTGCCTCAATGCAATTAAATGTTGAGAACCTGATTAGGCTTTCTGGAGAGCTGTCACCAGGCCACAGCGCTGTCCTGTGCTAGCATGCTGACCTGTGATACCATGCTGACCAGCGACATTTTCAGACTGAAATCCAAGGCCATTATCAACTTTTATCTAAAGCTGCTAACTCTAGTGACACCTTCTAATCCACTTTGATTACAGACATTTTGGTGTATCACCCTCTTTCACCTTGATTCCATTATTACCACCAGATTAAATATATTAGGAGTTTAATTGAGCTCTAATATTAATTAACAAACTTCAAGGTCTGGTCCCTGCATTTCAAACTCAGGGTCATACAAATTCAGCAATTAAGCCTGCATTTAAATAAAGAAACTGAGTTAATAAGTATAATATATATTTAGTGTTTTATAATTAAAATACTTTTTAAAATACATTTGTTCATTCTACCATCAAACTAATTTGAACTATTTGCCTTCATTAGGAGATAAACTTAATATTGGTTATGGACTCTTGTTTTCCTGACCATTAACTTCAGCAATAACAAAACTATTTAGCATGCACAGCACATAATGTAGGAGATCAAGGTAATCAAAATTATCATTAACTGGTGGGATAAATTTGTCCTTTCTCCTTTTAGCCTCCAGCAGCCCTAAAAATATTGTGCAATTTGAAGTCTGTAAAAGGGACAAACATGTTGACTAGACTGTGCCTGGTGGAAAGAATTTAAAAGCAAATTTTTTCACTTGCTTTCTATCCAAAATAGTGTCTTCAAATTTTAATTCAAAAATGTTGTGCTTGAGCTTTTTATCTGCTTTAAATTTGTTTTTCTGCTTAAAAATAAGGTGGGGATGTTTTCATAAAAAAATGACAGTGTTGTGATTCAACCAGAAAGGAATGTAATCTGTAAAAATCTGTCTTCAGAAAAACAATTGCTTCCCTTCGGATGGTATGTGGCTTATTGGTTCCAATGCAGGCATTTTTTTTGTATAGCTCCATGACAGCCAGGTTACTCATCCCTCTTCTCCCTCCACCTTCTTGATAATGGAATGGTCTGATTGCTTTTAAAGCTTTATTGATGTATAATTCATATATAAAAAGTTGCACATACTCTATGTATACATTTTAATGATATAAGCATGGACCTATGAAACCATCACCATAACCATGTTGCTGAACATATTTGTCGCCTCCAAAAATTTCCTTATGTTCTCCTGAGTGTGTTTCTTGTTTTTTTGACTTGGCAGGGGTTGCTGTTGCTGTCTATTTATGGTAAGAACACGAACATGAATTAATGTGAATTGAGATTTGTTATTAAATGTAAACTAAGGAACCTTTAAAAGTCTAAGACCAGAAGGGAGACTGAACACCCAGCGGATCAAGTGCATGGCCTTCCTGAACAGGAGAGCAAATAACCCAGCAGTGGCAATGCAAGATAGCAACTCCCAGGGAAGGGGTTACATTTTATCCACAGCAGCACTAGAAACAGTTCCTGGGCACATCTTGCTTTTTAAGGCTGCTCTTCAGAGGAACAGCCAGCGTCTGTCACCCAGCAAATTCCTGGGAGTCTGGAAATGAAGTGACCATAATCTGCCTAAATCAGGAAAGTGTGTGGCTCACTGTGGGGGGAGGACAGGGAAATGTGACTTGGAGGGAGAACCAGGACAGGCTAAGAATTCCTGCTGCCTCTCAGAAATGCATTCTTTAGAGAGTCTGGTGAACTCTAGGGAGATTGTAAGTACAAGCACTTGCCTTCCAGGCTTTCACAAATACGTTAAGTTCTGTAACAAGAGAACATTTAAGGAATTCATTGGTGATACCCTGTATGTGCTACTGTACATTTATCAGCCAATAAATGAAAGATTAATTCTCCATCCTACTTCACAGGGTCAGATGAGCTGTTGAGTCCCTGGGCGACTCAAAATTCTGGTAGGATCTGGCATGAGCTTAGAGGATGACTGTCAGGGAAACAGGCCTCTGAACCTCTCAGATGTCCAGGAAGTCAGGACTTTCTCAGCAAGGGCAGGGTGCTGGGAAAAGAAAGTACTCTATTTTTGTTGTTGTATCAAAATACCTTAGACTGTTATATCAAAATACCTAAGGCTGCTCTTGAGAGAAGCAAGAGAAATAAACTGTGAGAAATGTATTGCTCACAGTTCTGGAGACTGGGAAGTCCAACATCAAAGCACCAGCAGATTCAGTGTCTTGTGAGAGTCCATTCCTCCTAGATGGCACCTTCTATGCATGCTCACATGGTGGAAGGGGCTGGGGAGCTGCTTCAGACTTCTTTTATAAGGGCACTAATCTCATTCACAAGGGCTCCACCCTCATGACCTGGTCACTTCCAAAAGATCCTGCCCCTTAATACCAACACATTGCGTATTCAGTTTCAACATATACACTTTGGGGAACACAAACATTTAGACCATAGCAGAGAGGGAGGGCCCAATTTTTTCCAGCAGCAGAAAAGACTGCTGAAAAAATAGCAGAGGGGCAAGCACACAGAGAATAGTTCCTTACGGCTACTGATCAAGATAACCTTCATGTTCTCAGCTTGACTACACCCCAGAGGGGCTTCTCCCTACTTCTAGGAACTGTCCTCCCTCTCACCCTGCACTTACATAATCCAGTTGCCCTAGCTCCAGCGGTCTCTCCCTGACTTTTCTTAGAGCATTTACTTTAGGCACTTGCCATTGTAAATTCGTTTTCTGCCCCTTTGAGATGTACATTTTTAGAAGCCTTTTGCCAGTTTTGCAACCCAGGACTGTCTTTCTTAAGCACCTTGGAGTCATCCTTTTTCAATGTAATCATCAAGATTGATGACGCCCTTCTCTCCCAGTCTCTGTGAGAAGGTGATATAGTTTGTATATTTGTCCCTGCCCATATCTCACACTTAATTGCAATCCCCAATTTTGGGAGAGGGAGGTGACTGGACCACGGGGTGGATTTCTCATGAATGGCTCAGCATCATACCCTCGGTGGCGTCCTCACTACAGTGAATGAGTTCTCATGAGATCTGGCTGTTTCGAAGTGTGTGGTACCTCCCTTCCTCTCTTTCTCCAGTCTTCTCCATGTGAGATGCTTGCTCACCCTTTGCCTTCTGCCATGATTAGAAGCTTCCCGAAGCCTCCCCAGAAGCCAAGCAGATGCCAGCGCCATGCTTCCTGTACAGCTTGCATAACTAAGTATAAACCAATTAAACCTCTTTTCTTTATGAATTACTCGGTCTCAGGTGTTTCTTTAAGGCCATGCTAGAATGACCTAATACATAAGGTGGGAGCCTAGCTTTAGCGAGAGCCCCACTGCAAGTTGTAAGACTACTGCTTGTCACAAAGATAGGAGAAAATTAGCCTCTTTAAGATAAAACCAATTAACAAACACAGATGATCTAAGACCCCACCCCTGCTCTAGCTGCTAAAATCTCTCCTGTCCTTTATTTCAGGGGAACTTAGCATCTAGACTTGGTTTGTGCTTTCTCCCCTATTTCCAGCAATAGTAAGGGAATAACATCAAGTTTTGTTTGCTCATCCTGTCCAGTGAGGTTTTCCTTTAACAATAAACACATGAGCCATAAGCCCTCTTATGTGACTTATGTGGAGAGAAGAAAGGGAATCCCTAAAAAACAAAGGATAGTAGCATTCTCTTTAACCTTTGCAATTAGTGATTTCTGTTTACTTAGAAGAATAAAGGAAGGTGGCCATTCTTGCAATTATCATGGAGCCAACTGTAATCTCTACATATATGTTGTGTCTTTACCTATACATATAGTGAAGACATCAAAAAGCAAAAACTAAGAAAGAATTCAACAAAGCAGATGGACAAAGGTAAGGTTTTTTTAAAAAAATGTTGCTTTATGTTTTTAAAATTCATTTCCAGTGGTTAATATTCTTTTGAACTTCGGCAAAAGTTGGTATTATAAATATGAATAGATTAGCACAGAGCTTACTACAAATGAAAGCAGACTGAACATGCAATTGAGGTCTTCCATAATACTGTATCAGTATCTACTTTTTCTGTAGTATGTACATTTATGGGAAATGCATTCTAAAAGCTGACATATTGGAGTCTGCAGGATGAGGTGTTTAATAGCCGTACTGAAGAAGCATCATGCTGAGTCACTGTGAGGAATTCCATTTTCAGAAACTGAGTCCAAAAGGAGCATAAATGTTCCCTATATTGTTGACAGGCAGAAGAAAGCTCTGAGAAACAACTGCAGAGATAAAAAAAAAAAAGACAGAGTCAAAGACAGAACATAAGCAAAGGAGAGAACACTCAGATTAGAAAAAGCACCTTTTGGTGTAATAAAGGAATGAGAACATGAAATTAGAAAAACATAGAAAAGAAACAAATGTTTATTAACCTTGAGGAATAAAGATTTGAACTGAAATTTAAACTATTGCCTTAACAAGATCTGTGACAGGTGATGATGACACCTGGATACAAATGCATCAAAGATTCTAAAGCAGACTCATGCCAAGAACTGTGTGTGAAGTCCAAAAGAGAACCAGTAGGACCAGAGATAAGAGGAATCCAGAAAAGAAGAACAGAGAACTGGTTCTTTTTGCCTCAGTAGATATTGCCAGGAAGGCACTGGGAAGGAACTAATAAGTTAAGATGAGTATCCTATGTACATATTCATAAGGTTGCATGTAAAAATATCCTATGGCTGCTCTACAATAAAATTAACCTTCAATCTCTTTTTCTGTAGTTAATTTCAGCTTATTATTTAGTTGTTCTCGTAAAGACTCTATCAAAATAAAAAAGAAATAGAAATCTTCATACTCTACAGATAGGAATATTCATTTGTGTAGCCATTTTAAAAGTTAATATAATAGTATTTAGTGAATTAATTATGTCTATAGCCTGGATGTTTACCATAGAAACACTTTCACACAGATGCATTAAGACATATGTATCAGGAAGGTGATCATAGGCAAGCGAGATCAATACCTACTACGAATAAAGGATTGTTGACGGCTGATGTGATACCTCAGTTTTTGTCTTTTTAGTTAGAATTTCAACAAGAGATGCACAACAAAGGAAATGTAGCTGTTTGTTTTTAGCGTAGTTTATTGCAAAATAAAAAGTATTTTATTACAAAAAAGAGTAATTTGTTGCAAAAGAAAAAGAATATTTTAGAAGTTAAGTGCAGAATAAACAGTATACCCAGAGAGAGAGAGGATTCAGGGCTGGCTGCTCTTAAGGATGAGACAGCACAGACTGGCACAAGGGAGACTCCCTTTATGGGAGTCTTACATGGTTATTCATAAGGAGGTGGGAAGATGTTACTAGAAAGCTAGGTGCACGTGTGCAGTAGTTGTACGTGCTTGTTCATATGTCGCATGTCTCATTAGCATCTTAAATCTCTACCCAGGGGTGTGTTCTTTACTATTAAAATGAGCAAAAGGTCAATCTGAGGACAAGTTAAATCAAATTGCGCACGCTCTCTAAAGGGGAAAGTCCCTACTGAAGATAGCTTTGCTTGGATGTGCTCAATTACAATGCGAATGCTGTGGTTTATTGTGTTGACTGTACAGTCACCACAGGTGCTGTGTCCCAAGAAGAGGGTCACTTCATTGATTACCTATCCTGCCTTAAATTGGTAAAATATGATGTATGATGGAATAACGTATGGGGTGAGAAGACATTAATTTGAGCTTCACAAAACAATGTGGATAAATCTCTCAAACATGGTCAGTGTTTAAATGTATAAACACATACATAATAATAAAATGTTATTTGCAGATCGACATATATGTAAAGGGTGTATTGGTAGGCTGCACCTTAAATAAATATATTAAGAAAGATTCGTGGGATAGGAAAGGAGAGGTGAAATAAAAAATAAAATAAAATAAAATCAGAGATAATTATTTTGCAGACAAATACTAACATAAACTATAAAGTGGTTTACCTTAAATTGAGTAAGAATTTTGAAAACTATTCTGAAAAATCTTGAGCTGCTCTGAGGGCAGTTGACAGTTTCCCTTTGTGGATGAAAGAATTAATACCCCCCCCTCCATACACTCTCCTCAAAAATAATATATAACCATGTTGATAGAGTTTGGATATACATCCCTACCAAAATCTCATGTTGAAATGTAATCCCCAATGCTAGAGGAGGTGCCTCGTGGGCAGTGATTGAATCACAGGCAAATTTCCCTCTTGGTACTGTGTCCTGATGATAAGTAAGTTCTCATGAGATCTGCTTGTTTAAAAGTGTGTATCTCCTCCCCCACTCTCTCGCTGTTGCTCCTGCTGCACCCATTAAGAAGAGCCTGCTTCCTCTTTGCCTTCCGCCATGACTATAAGTTTCCTCAGTCCTGCCCTGAAGCCAACCAGGTGGCCTGCATCATGCTTTTTGTACAGTCTATGGAACCATGAGCCAATTCAATCTCTTTTCTTTTACTTTTTCTTTTCTTTTCTTTTCTTTTCTTTTCTTTTCTTTTCTTTTCTTTCTTTTCTTTTCTTTCTTTTCTTTCTTCTTTCTTTTTCTTTTCTTTCTTTCTTTCTTTCTTTCTTTCTTTCTTTCTTTCTTTCTTTCTTTCTTTCTTTCTTTCTTCTTTCTTTTTCTTTTTTTTTTTTTTTCTGATGGAGTCTTGCTCTGTCGCCAGGCTGGAGTGTAATGGTGTGATCTACACCTCCTGGGTTCAAGCAATTCTCCTGCCTCAGCCTCCTGAGTAGCTGGGACTACAGGCGCATGCCACCACGCCTGGCTAATTTTTGTATTTTTAGTAGAGATGGGGTTTCACCATGTTGTTCAGGATGGTCTTGATCTCTTGACCTCATGATCCGCCTGCCTCAGCCTCCCAAAGTGCTGGGATTGCAGGGGTGAGCCACGGCACCCTGCCTCAATCTCTTATAAATTACCCAGTCTCAGGTATTTCTTCATAGCAATGAGAGAACAGACTGATACATTCTAGTTCCTCAACCCTGTCCATAAGTCATGTTACATGGCAAAGGGAAATTAAGCTTACAGGTGGAACTAAGGCTGAATAATCAGCTGAATTTTAGAGTAAAGAGATTATCCTGGATTATCCCTTAGGTCCAATGTAATCACAAGTGTCTTTAAAAGATAGAAGAGAGGGGTAGAAAAGCCAGTGTCAGAGTGAAGCAATTTGAGAAAGGCTTGACTGGCCATTGCCAGCTTTGAGATGAAGGAGGGCCATAAACCAAGGAGTGCTGCGGACTCTAGGAGCAGAAAAAAAGGTGAGAAAATATATTCTACCTGAGAGCCTCCATTAGAATTACACAGTTCTGCCGACACTTTGAGTTTAGCACAGTAAGACTCACTTAAGACTTCTGACCTCCATAGTTATTCATTTGTGTTTTTTAAGCCACTAAGTTTATGATGATTTGATACAGCAGCAAAAGGAAACTAGTACATCCGTTTTTGTAAATGTGTGTGTGTGTGTGTGTGTGTGCACACCTCAACAACACTTGCAAAATTGAAATCTTCAATGTAATTATTGGAGTTCATCTTAAAAGACGAATACACACATTTCCAAACTGACATGCTATAATTTGCATTGTTCCCAATCCCCAGTAAACTGAAAAATACTCTTGGTACATTCAAAGTGATATGAAAATGTCCATCTGTAAAGACAACTCTATAAGTTATATTTTATCTTATTTTATTTTTTGAGACAGGGTCTCACTACCTCTCCCAGGTTGGATCATGCCTGGCTAATTTTTATTATTATTTTTTGTAGAGACGAGGGTCTCACTATGTTGCTCAGGCTGGTCTTGAACTCCTGGGCTCAAGTGATCCTCCTACCTTGGCTTCCCAAAGTGCTGGGATGGCAGTCATAAGCCACCATGCCAAGGCCAATAAGTAGTATTTTAAACAGACCATATGATATTCCATACCACATACCATAAACTAAATGTAAATTTCTATAAAAATGTGAAAAGTACCCAATGCATAATTTCAAAACGAAACCATTTAAACTAACTGAATTTATTAAGGAGAAATTAATTATAGTAAGAAGAAAGGGGTGTGACATTTTGAAGACCTCTAAAACGCCCTTTGTTGGCCTATCATAACATAGATTTTTACATTTGTTGATGAGAATGAGTGAATAGAAATGACTTTAAATGACAGTCTAGTTATTTCTAAGGAAGCAGATGAAAAATTTATGCTCCACTGGTACGCATCTGATTAAGATATAGCCCTTTGAAATGGTAATAGACTAAAAAGCCAAGCATGCTATGTTTTCATATCTTTTCATGCCGTACTTATTGAGAACACTTAGGACAGCCATTAAATATCTAAAACTAAACATCAGAACTATTCTGAGCAGCAGGATGCATCAGACTCTTCTTCATTACTGAAGAGAGCACAGTTGAAATAATTCTGGAATGGCAGCAGACAGCAATGTCAAACTTGAGCTCTGGTTAAAATCCTTTGCCTATCTTTAAATGAATCTTTTAGCATCTTTCTTTTTTATTGTCTTAAACATTAACAAAGAAGAAAGGAGATGATACTGCCCGAGCCCAGGGACCAGGACTACCTGCTGGAAATCTACTGGATGGAATCCAGAGCTGTAAGGAAATTCCATAGAAAACAGAAAAAGGAAGAAAATTCAGGTTTCTCTTCTTTGACCCTCATATCTTCTTAAAATGCATCTCATTGGCTGGATATACCTAGAAATCAGAGGACAAAGAAGCCTGGGAAATACATGTCTTTAAGACACAGATGAGAGCAGGGGAATGGTAGAGAATGAATTTGAGAGGAAACAGAAAGGTGATTGATTGACATACCAAGCTGTGTCACAAAATACGTGAGAAGGGATCCTGCTACTTCTCCCTCCATGTAGGTATGGCAGTATGTGACATAGGTAAAGCAACGTTTACACCTCATTTTATTTCTACTGACTATGAACACATCCACAAAGACTCACTGGTGTAGATGGGGTAGTAATTGCACAATTAATCATTTGGATTTGCTTGTGTAGATACAATATTTTACCTAAACAGTACGACTAGATTTGAGTCATATCTTTTAGTCACTTTTCACACACAGTGATGAAAACCCCCACTGTATGCTAACTCATCTTGTGCATTGGGCGAAGAACACTGCTGTTTATTATATTTTTGCCTTGTTTTCATAAATTATTAATAATTCATAGACATATATTTTCAGTCAATTTTAAAGGGCAAATCTGTAAGTCACAGAGGGTGGGATGGAGGGAGCTTATTGCTTATAATCCAATCACACCTTTCACACAGTGATACAAAGAATTCAATTTTGTGTAATTCCGAATTATTTCTAAAACCAAGACTCTAAAATAACAAAATACCGGAGGCACTACTTAAATTGGTGAAATTATTGTTTATACATAAATTGTTTCAGTGTTCATTACGAAGCTAACAAGGATGGATTTTAGAAATAGGATAAATAAGATAATTTTAGGAACAAAAAATAAGACAGAGAACATCTTTATTTTTTTAGTTGGAAGGTTCAAATGGAAAGTGATAAATAATGTTGAGTGTCTCTGCCCAGGGCACTTGTTAACTTTCTTCCTGATAATTGGCATCTCACTCTCTTATTGCCAGTGTGAACCATTGTGGTCTCTGTGAACATCTCATACTTTTGGTCGTGTCTATAGTAGTGAGAGTATTGGTTCTGCAAATAAATGCTTAATCTCTAAAAATTGTGACTATGTTATGTTACATAACGAAGGAGATTTTGAAGGTGTAATTAATGTTACAGACCTTAAAATAAGGAGATCAGTCCGGGCGTGGTGGCTCACACCTGTAATCCCAGCACTTTGGGAGGCCAAGGCGGGTGGATCACTTGAGTTCAGGAGTTTGAGACCAGCCTGGTCAACATCGTGAAACCCCGTCTCTATTAAAAATACAAAAATTAGCCGGGTGTGGTGGCAGGTGCCTGTAATCCTAGCTGCTCAGGAGGCTGAGTTAGGAGAATCGCTGGAGCCCGGGAGGTGGAGGTTGCAGTGAGCCAAGATCGTGCCATTGCGCTCCAGTCCCAGTGACAAGAGCGAAACTCCATCTCAAAACGCAACACAACAAAAAAAAAACAAAAAACAAAAATAAGGAGATCATTCTGGATTATACAGATGGAACCACTAAATCCCATGTGCCCTTAAAAGCAGAGAACTTCCTCTGGCTGGGGTCAGAGAGATACAGGGAAAAATTAGAGGTTGGATGCATCAGAAGGATTGGATGTGATATGATGTTATGGCTCTTAGATGTAGGGATCCACGTATAAAGGTTAGGTAGAGGCCTGGAGCTCATGGCACACTTGAGAAGGAAAGTGACAGCCTATAGGAGCAAAACTGTACTCTGGTTGACAACTATCGAGAAAACAAAAACCTTAGCCCTACAACTACAAGAATAGAATTTGATCAACAATTTGAATGAGCTTCGAAGTACATTCCCCAGAGCTTCCAATAAGGAACACATTCCACATTCCAGCTGCATCTCTGCCATGTCTGTGTTTTGTTCTTTTTCCCAAGCACTCCAGGCCCTATCATCTTCTCACATCATTACACACAAAGCACTTGCTAAAATGCCCCACTTCCCACCCTGAGGAAGGCCCTCTCATCTTTAAGACGTCCTCATGGATTTTACTTCCACTCTCTTTGTTTTAAGGTTCTCTCATATTGCTTTAATCGTATTCCTGTTTAGTTGTCCAATCAATACTAGCACCTATGTTGTATCCAATGGTCAACTAAGTGTATATTAGTGAATAGCACAGATACTGTGCAGATTTTCTATGAAGAAGTTGGAGGATAAAGAATAAGGAGATGAAGAAATAGAGCGACTCCAATAGGCTTATGGCATTTTCTAGTCAAATATAATATATTTCTTTACATGCATATCTCTCCAACAAGCCATTGAGCTCATGGAAAGAAAATGATATGTTATGTGTCATTTGATGAAGGAAATTATCCTCAACATATCCTCAACATCCTCACATATCCTGTGTTGGCTGTGGCTGACAGGAATTATGGATGGCTTCATGGACCACACCAATTCAGACAAGAGTTAGAGAACTAAGGAGTCAGAAGCCCAGGAAAAAAAAAAATCCACCTTTCCTGAGAAACAAGTTATACAGCTGAGTGCATAGCCAAGTGTATTAACTGACAAGCTATCCATTTTAACAAGGAAGTCATATCTCAAAGGGATGCTTGCTGACATTAGGATAGAGCACCAATGGGAGAAACAGAAAGGATTAAAGGAAAATTAAAAGTCCAAAAAGGGAAAATGAATATACATTTATTTCATTTAGTACTCTTGGAGAAAACTCACAGTTGTGTATATTTAGGTTTGCCCCCAAATATGCTTGCAACAGTGGCAAACAATAATGGGCTTAGATCAATACATTTAGCAGGATTCGCTTGTAGTAAGCCTGTTGCTTGATGATGTTTTGCCTGTAAACCTGTTTGTATGAACACTTTGTGTTTGGCAGAAACTATTTAATGTAAGTTTTTTGTTACAGTTTCCTTTTACTTTTCCTCTATCATTCCCCTCTAGTTGTGTGTAAAAAGATTAAATGGGCTGGGCACAGTGGCTCACACCCGTAATCCCAGCACTTTGGGAGGCCGAGGCAGGTGGATTACCTGAGGTCAGGAGTTAGAGATCAGCCTGACCAACACGGAGAAACCCCGTCTCTACTAAAAATACAAAATTAGCTGGGCGTGGTAGCTCATGCCTGTAATCTCAGCTACTCGGGAGGCTGAGGCAGGAGAATTGCTTGAACCGGGGAGGCTGAGGTTGCAGTGAGCCGAGATCACGCCATTGCAGTCCAGCATGGGCAACAAAAGCAAAACTCCATCTGAAGCAAAAAAAAAAAAAAAAAAAAAACACACAAACAAAACAAAAAGAAGATTAATGACTATTCTCTTTGGATATACTTATATTTTCTGCATTTTCAATGCCACTATAAGTGTTCAAAAATGAGGAGATATAAAATCTCTTGAAAAATTTATTTGAAATGGTTAAATTCTCCCTAGAGTTCAAATATACTCTCTCCACTTCTTCAGTGATTCATTTCTTAACTTAGTTTAATGTTTAATATTAGCTTTTTAAAGCCTTTCCCTAACATTGCCAATTATTTCTATGTTTTAGCTCCAGTTGGAATTTGTCAGTCCTCATTTTCGTTTTCCTCTTCATACTGTTCAACAGTTCCTTCCATTGGCTTCTAGGATATTAATCTCTCCCCATTTCATTCCAACCCCTTTAACTGTTAGTTTTCTTGTTGAAGCTTCCTCTCATATCTTATTTTCAAATGTATGTTTCTTCTTGGGCTCAGTTCTAGCTGCATCTCTCAATTCCTCCCACATTCTATCTTGAGAATTGAGACCCTCTTTGGTGATAGTATTTAAATAAAACAGTAGATTACCTGTATCAAGAAGACTTCGTTGTTTGCCCAGAAAAAAAGAGATGCTTTATAAAATGTCCACAAGTCAATTTATTGGAGACTGTACTGTTCACCTGTACAAACAACTTGCTTATCAACCACAGTATACTTATTGAGAATCACTTCAAAGTCCTTACTTCTCTGTGCCCAGCAATCTTAAACTATTATATCACAAAGTTGACTCATTTCTGATCAGTTCCTCTGCTTTAAAAGATCTGCCTTAAGCCACTGGAGCTCAGCCAAGAAACTGCTATAAAAAATATTGCAGCAATTCTGGCTTCCCTTTCTGAGACTCTGTCAAGCATCCATCAAGGTGGTGTTGTCTCTTCCCGCAATAAATTGTAGCTTTGCTTCATTAACAGGCTACCTGTTATCTTTTAAGCAATTCACCACTCACTAGATGAATCTCCAGGCTCATGATTTAGGTTGCTGTCAATTTGTTGGTTTTCATGTATTATGTATGTTTGTGTCTCTATGTCCAAGATATATCTCTAGTCTGCCCTCTTCTTTCCATTTCCACCAAGACCACCTTCAAACAAACCACCATCACCTCTCACCTAAATCACTACACAATCTATTGTCTGTAATAAATCCATTCAGTCTTTTAAACTTTGAAAAAAATCGTATTTTTATTTTTACTTGAGACAGGGTCTTGCTTTGTCACTCAGCCTGGCATGCAGTGGCACAATCATGGCTCACTGCAGACTCGACTTTCTGGGGTCCAGGCAATCCTCCCACCTCAGCCTCTTGAAGAGCTGGGACTACAGGCGCATGCCACCACACTCGGCTATTTTTTTTTGTTTCTTTTAGTTACTTATAGAGACAGAGTCTCCCTATGTTGCCCAGGCTCATCTCAAATATCTGAGCTTAAGCGATCCTCCTGCCTCGGCCTCCCAAAGTGCTAGGATGAAGATCTTAATCTTGATTGATGATTAAGTTAATAATGATTTCTAAGAGTAAGAAATATTTATCTCTAGTTCAGCAACTTGGTTTCTAGTGCAGTATTCTATTGCAGACATAAATCTTCCAAACTCTAAAATACTTACTTTTGTATTCAGTTCATATTTTTAGGTAGCCTTTGTTTTTGGCATTCCACAAATTGTCTCTATCATATTTTAAAATTGATTCTCCTTTGCTCCTGGAGAACCCTTTCTCAAAACCATTTCTCCTCCCCTTTCAGCCTGGATTGCTCCTCTCTGTAGTCTGTGCACTTAACTTTCACCATCTCACCATCCTGAGAGTCTTCCTCACTGATCCCCAGGGCTGAATGCATGATTTGTCTGATCTCATTTCTTCTTTTTACCCGGTATATCGTATTTTTCAGCAAGCACCTTCCTTGTAAAATGGAAAAACATTTTTCTATGCCCTTGTGGATCAGACAATGTGTCATTATAGATGCTTATTTTAGCTGGATATTAACTTTTGATTAGAAATTATTTTAAGAATTTTAAAAGGAACAGCTCAATAGTTTTCTAGCATCCAATGTTGAAGGCAAAAAGTGTGAAGACAGTCGTTTTTCTCATTTATGTGTAAATGACATGTGTTCCTACCCTAAATCCCAGAAACTTTTAGTATCATTGACTTTACCCTTTGGTATGATAGCAAGTTAAAATTGTATATCTAGTTAATATCCCATTGTAAGTATTATGATTCCAAAATATTTTTTAAACATCAAGAACAAGATAACTCTACAGAAGATTTATTTTCTTGAATAGATAAGCTACTAAATAATGAATCAAACAAGAAACACTGTATCTCCTTCCTCTGGCAGATGAAAGTGCATTGAAGATGAAGAGCTGTCAGTTTAAGCACTGGATACCAACATGGTTTGAGCCAGTACTGGCCTTAACCCCGCTAATGCTGATGCATTTCATCGTGTTCCTGGCATTTGGAAGAGTGAGGAATGACTTTGGACTGAGATAGATAACGATGACTAAAGATCTAAGCTCAAACTATCCAAAAAGTATAACCTGAGCCACATAGGTAATTTTAAATGTTCTAGTGGAGACATTAAATAAGGTAAAAATAGACAGGTAAAATTAATTTTAATTTTTATTTAAACAAATATATCCAAAATATTATTACTTCAACATTTATGAAAACAAAATTATAGGTGAGATGTTAACATTGTTTTGGTTTTTATACTAAGTATGCAAAATTCAGAGTGTATTTTATACCTACAGCTCATCTTGATTTGCCCTAGACACATTTCAAGTGCTTGATAGACACATGTGTTGGTCAGTGCAGATCTAAATAAGGAAATCAATTGTAAATTTCTTGACTATAATCTCTCTGCATTATTTATGGAATATATAGATAGGAAGATATTGTTTCCTCTGAAGTTTTACTTTGTAGTAAAAATAATAAGGAAGAAGAGAAAAGGGAGGAGGAGGGGGAGAAGCTTTGCTGTCATTCTCTGCACATCCTGGCTTATGTCTGATTCCCATCCTTAGTGTTTTTTCTTACAAATTTTCCCACTGGGAGCCTTTGTCTAATGCCATTGGCTAGAACACAGAACCTGGTCGATAACCAATTAACAATTTTATTGAATTCACTTATTTATGTATGACTTAATTTATCTATTGCTAAGAAGCTGGAGATGCAGTCCATGAGTGTTTGACTGTATTTTGGCTTTGGGTAAGAGAATATCAGGTTAGGAATGGCTCTAGTGTGCTCTTTCATCAAGTTCAGTTTTTATTTAAAAGGCACCTAAAGTGAACCTAGATACTAAAGCTTATTTTAAAAAGTAAATATCTTGGAACCTCCATAGAGCAATGGTTCTCAAGCTGTGGTCCCGATCAGCATCTCAGGGGATCTTGTTGGAAATGTACATTCTCAGCTGGGTGTGGTGGCTCACAGCTGTAATCTCAGCACTTTGGGAGGCCGAGGCGGGGGGATCACCTGAGGTCAGGAGTTTGAGACCAGCCTGACCAACACGGAGGAAACCCTGTCTCTACTAAAAATATAAAAACTTAGCCGGGCATGGTGGCACATGCTTGCAATCCCAGCTACTCAGGAGGCTGAGGCAGGAGAATCACCTGAATCCTGGAGGCAGAGGTTGTGGTGAGCCAACATCGCGCTATTGCACTCCAGCCTGGGCAACAAGAGCAAAACTCCATCTAAAAAAAAAAAAAAAAAAAAAAAAAAAAGAAAGAAAGAAAAAAAACCAACAACAACAAAATAAATGTACAAAAATAAATGTACATTCTCAGGTTCCACTCCAGACCTTCTGAACCAGGAACCAGGAACTCAGAGGTGACGGGCAGCATTTGTGGCTGAAGCAGCTCTTCAGGTCCACTAATGTTTGAGGGCCACAGTTGCAGAGCTCAGGGCAAATGCACTTTATTATTGTTTTATTTTATTTCATAGCTTATGTTTGAAAACAGTAGTTATTAATTGTGGTTGCTTGAAGGATTTCAATGCACAATATGTGACAAATTTCCTTTGGTCTCAGAATTAGTGAAAGCTTTGCTCTTGACAAAAACTAGTACTTTTTTTTCCATAATGAGAAATTTTCATAGTGACTTGCAGTTTCACTTTAGCTACTGATAATTTCAGAACTAAATGTGAGGCTTATTAAAAAACAGCCCCTCACAGAATAGAAGGATAAATAAATTAATCTCAACATTAGGTAAATAGTTCCTCTATGCATGTAATAAAAGTTGAAGAAAATGTACAACCTATTCAAAAAATATTCCCCTTTATACCCAAACTCATCAAATTCTGTAGTTTAATCGCTTCATTAAGGTTTAAATATTGGTCCCACAAAGAGCACAGAACAATGATCTTTTGAATTAACTTGATTTGAAATACTAGGAACCAAAAGATGCCCCATGTTTCTTTCCCATGCCCCTGACCTTGTTTAGTCACATGGCAATGGAGGTTATAATTTATAGCGTGCTTATCAAAATGCATCATTTTAATGGGTGAAACAGAATTGGTGTCTGTTATTTTAAAAAACATAACTACAAGGGAGTCAAGCATAACAGGGAACACATTAGCCAAAGCTCTACAAGCTTCATGTAGTTTCATTCAAGGCCATCAAAAAGGCTAGATAAAGATGAAAGTACAGAAATAGGGAAGAGATTAAAGAAATGTTCCCTTGAATGATGTATTTATCCAAGTTTTCTAAGGCAAAATTCCATATTAATATTTGGGTGCCAGGGAAATACATTTAATTGCAGGGAATGGGGTGGGGGATAGTTAAATGGCTGTCTTCTCATTGTGAATATTATTTTGAAACAGTGGCATAGTCAAACATGACTGAAATTCACAGCAAATGTGGCTCAGAGAGTTTCTTTTACTCAGCTAATGAAAGACCTCCAGAATAGGGAATGTTTTTCATTATAAGGGCTACTTAAATGGTACAGTGGTCTCTAGGTGGCTGCTAATCTTGGGCTCATTCTCCACACCACTACAGCAGGATTAAGAGTTGAGGCATTCTATGGAAAACGTAGGGTAAAGGGAATATGGAAGACAGGAATGAATCAGTGGAAGTTGATAAACATTTTACATTTTCTCCAACAGGCAACAAAGAACAACATAAATAAACAACAACATCTGTAAATGCCATTTTACACATTGTCCTTTAGAATCAAATGTTAGTGCTGTGTGTTATCACTTATTTCCTGAATTTTTCAAAGTCTTCCCTCAGCGCAGTTTCGATTTCGATAAGGTGCTTATACCTGTGTTTTCCTCTGCTGCTGATCAAAGACCTGCCAAGAGAAATTTTGTTCTACCTCTGGCCCTTCTTCCAGGTACTGATTATCCATTTAGTTCTGTGACTGAGAGGTTATATTCTTGCACCCAGGATTATACTCTGGTCCCACGGATATGATTACCTGAGCTTCAGGAAATGGTAAAATGCTTGGAAACATTGTAGAAAATGCTTGGAAATATTCTATGTAATATTTCCTATGGCTATGCCAAGTAGGGTGCTCTGATAATGCATATAATTAAACAATAGCTAATTTAATTATGAGTGGAATTGGGAGATAAATTAGTACCAAGTATCTCTTTCATCTTAACCACAAAAGAAAGATTGAAAAAAATCTGCTAAATCCAGTCCACAGAATCAGCAATTTTTTTCTGGAAGCGTATTAGTTCATTCTCACACTGCTATGAAGAAATACCCGAGACTGGATAATTTACAAAGAAAAAGGTTTAACTGACTCCCAGTTCAGCAGGGGTGAGGAGGCCTCAGAAACTTACAATCATGGTGGAAGGTACCTCTTCATAGGGAGGCAGGAGAGAGAATGAGTGCCAGCAGTGGAAATGCCAAATGATTATAAAACCGTCAGATTTCGTGAGAATTCACTCACTATCATGAGAACAGCATGGGGGAAACCGCCCCCATGATTCAATTACCCCTCATCGTGTACTTCCCATGACATGTGTGGATTATGTGGATTACAATTCAAGATGACATTTGGGTGGGGACACAGCCAAACCGTATCAGGAGGATTGGGAATGCTAAACCTATGCATTTGATGAGTAGTTTTCAAAACATTGGCATGAAATAGGAATTACTTTTCCTAAAGAAAAGTATTTCATTCCCTTCCTTTTCAGAGTGAAATGTGTCTTTATTCATGAGTACAATAAACTACCTGGAGTCATGACATGTACTTATGGGATTTATATAGAGCAATACATTTGAGCATCTGAAATAGAGCTCCAAACTACATCTTCTTAGGAAAAATTGTTTTGCTTACATATTCCTGTGATCTTTTATTTCTACATTGCTTTTCTGTCTGCTATCACCCCTCTCTCCCTTATCCCAATCCCCTCACGTATCACAAAGCTGCCAACTGTCAAGATTGTGTTGCCTCCTTTTTTTTTTTTTTTTTAAATAAGGTTTCCATCTTCAGTATCTTTATGTCTTCGGTCCACTTTATTTAATCTTTTATTCATTTTTCCAGTTCAAGCTCATAAGCAGTTACATTACAAGTCTTAGATATCATCAACATACTATGTCATTATTTATAAGGAACTGCTATGTCTCAAAAACCTCATCTGTTTCATTCAAAACAGTTAATATCTGCCATTTCTGTCCTATTTCCTCAATCTGCCTAGTTCTCTGGCTCACCTCCTGGGTATGACCTCTGGGTATTCCAAAACACCCTCCCATCTCTGATTTTCCTGACTTGTAATGAAGGCACATGCTCAAACACTCAAACACCTGTTGGTTATAAGAAGCCAGTCATTGGGAGGCCGAGGTGGGTGGATCACGAGGTCAGGAGATCAAGACCTTCCTGACTAACACGGTGAAACCCCATCTCTATTAAAAATACAAAAAATTAGCAGGGCGTGGTGGCGGGCGCCTGTAGTCCTGGCTACTCGGAAGGCTGAGGCAGGAGAATGGTGTGAATCCGGGAGGCAGAGCTTGCAGTGAGCCAAGATCATGCCACTGCACTCCAGCCTGGGCAACAGAGCAAGACTCTGTCTCAAAAAAAAATAAATAAATAAAGAAGAAGCCAGTCAATTTACCAGACAATCAACATGCATTTAAAAATAGAAAATTTACTTTTGTCAGTGTAAAATAAAAGAAAAACATATTTTTTCAATGATATTACCTATAAATTTAAGGAGTTTGGTAAAAACATGTACTTCAGTCTTAGTATATCTCAGGGTTTTGTAAAACAAGGTTAAAAATCTCAACACCTCTAAAAGTGAAGATAGATTTTTCATAAATAATACTAGTTGCTTAAATTTCTGCCATTTTTATGGCCTTTGTGGTACCTCTACATACTTTATTGCACGTAGTTTCCACAAGAAGCTTATGAGATAAATGTTATTTTGACTGTACAAAAGTGGAACATGAGATTCCCAGAGCCAATTGGCTCACCCAGTTTTCTCACAGCTAGTCTTTCCCCACCTAATATAGTGGCTAAAAAAAATAGGAAGGAGGGCAAGCATTTTGTTCTTACGGGGTCCCACTTAATTGGTACACAAATGGTCATATTGCTGATAAGCACCTCGATGTCTGGAATGACAACTTATTCACCTTCCTGCACATAGCAGTACCAAGGTGTTTGGTGGAATTATGCTTAATTTAGTAATATATTAGAATTTCAAAAATAACTCAAAACATAAAGTAAAATGAGAAAGACTCTTCCAAAAAATCATCCTTTGGGTTTTACTTTTCTTCAAACACACAATAATTATTCTCAAGATTTAAGAAAGTTGTTCTGATAATATGTAATATACTTTTTAAAATAACCCTACTGTGGTTGCTAATCTTTTTAATAAAAGATTTCACTCTTGTAAACATGAAAACTTTACTGAAAGCCAAGTCTTATTAGGATTTTTGACAAAGGTGGATAATAACATTTAGGGTTAAAAACTAAGACAGTTTATACAGTAGTAAAATGGTTCTTCTTGCATGACTTATTCATATGTTCTAAGGCAATTTTCCAAGAAAATTATTAAAATGTTCTGAGCCATAGCTGTATGGCCATTTAGTTAAGTTTCTAAAATCTTATTATTTAAATGAAGTCTCTCGACATTATTACTTGAGTGCAATCTGAAAATATATAAAATGTATTCATGATCTTTGAATTGGAACTTTTGTCCTCAACTGGAATTTCTCGTAAGAAAATAAAAATAATGCACACAAAGTTTAATGTACAAGAATGTCAATCGCAGCACAGTTTGCAAAGTCTAAAATCAATTATACAACTTAAATGTCTCTGTGGAATATAATGAAATAAGTTGTAAGGAATAAGAAATAAAGTTATAAGGTGAACTAATCATATTATACTTCTTAATATAATCATTTTATTAAAATTGAAATTATTTATAATATAGCATTAAATAAAATCAGAATGTAAATGTATTTATTTAGCTCTTAATATCATAATTACTGGATGAGTGATAATACATCAAAATAATATCAACTGAGTTTTAATATCATGGATAATTTAAACTTTGTGATTTTGAAAACTACAATCACCTGCATCAACACAACATAGCCATTAACACTAAGAGCCAGGACCACCTAGATCAACATGACTTTGTTATTTATTCCAAGAAACCGTTACCGTTACTAAGGAAATTGATGACTGTACACCAAAAATGACTTCAGTGTTTCCTTCAGAAAAAAAATCTCTGGGAAGTTGTTTCTCTGAGACAATAGTTTGCTTACCTGGGCAAATACGTCATTTACCAAAGCACAGTTTAGTTTTTAAGATTCTCTTCAGGACCCTCTCCTCACTAAGTCTATCAATCCTAATATATTACATTTCAAACTTTAACCAAGCTAGTTTCCCTTCTTGAAAGTACATGTTCTAATGCTCAGAAGCTCAGATATCAAAGTCCTTTAAGTACCCTTCTGACTTTCCCCTTCTGTGACACAGCTAAGCATTCAGTCCATTCTAAGAAATAGCTTTGCTTTATTAACAGATTGTTTGTTAAGACTTTAGAAAATAAACAACTGGCATTATTCATCACATTTTATCTTAAAGATATATTATTTTTATTAGGCAAGGTTTTAGTTTTCTGGGCCAGATATAGCCAGTGAAGAATAATAATCCGAATTATAAAAATAATGAGTCAAGCTATGTGAACCTTATAATACCCAGTGAAAGTATTCATCATTCTCAGCATTTTCATATATTAAGTCATTTAATTCTCACTACTGCCCCGTGAGATTAGTAGTGTTGTTACCATTTTGTGCCTAGTGTCACAGGACTGCCCCTTAGCAGAGCAGGGATCAGAGCCTGGGCTGTCAGGCCCGTTAACTGGCCATGGTCACCAATATGTCGTGCTACTTCTCATACAGAGACATTAATGTTTTTCTGCAAAGAATCAAGGCAAAGAAGATTGAGAAGGGTTCAAAGGATTGAGAGTGTTGGATTCAAGGACTCTACTTATGTTTAAAATATCCATAAAGAGGTCCGATGTGGTGGCTCACGCCTGTAATCCCAGCACTTTGGGAGGCCAAGGCCGGCACGAGGCCTTGAGATCACGAGGTCAGGAGATCAAGACCATCCTGGCTAACAGAGTGAAACCCCATCTCTACTAAAAATAGAAAAAAATTAGCCAAACATGGTGCCCTGTGCCTGTAGTTCCAGCTACTCGGGAGGCTGAGGCAGGAGAATCGCTTGAACCTAGAAGGTCGTGGTCTCAGTGAGCTGAGATCATGCCACTGCACTCCAGCCTGGTGACAGAGCAAGATTCTGTCAAAAAAAAAAAAAAAAAAAAAAGAAAGAAAGAAAGAAAGAAAGAAAAGAAAAAATATCTGTAAAGAATCTAGTGAGGAAAAGTTTCTCTTAGACTTTCTTTTCCTCTTTCCTAGTAATAGAACCTGGAATCTGATAAATTACTTCATTTAGTCTTCAGATTTATTTATCCTAAACACTGCCTCTGGTTTTATTTTAATCTAAATATTAATATTTCAATTCCAAGTGGAAAATCTCCACAATGTGATAAGATGGGAATCCTAGGAACAATATCACCTCTTGTGTAGGATGCTGTTCTGTGGCTGTTATATAACACTTTGGTAAATATCACAGGCATATTATACAGTTCAACTCTTACTGTTTCACTCTGAGACAAGATGGAGTTTACACACACACACACACACACACGAGAGAGAGAGAGAGAGGGAGAGACACCTTTTGTCAAGCTTGAGTGTATAAACCCTCTTCTACCCAGTATTTCTTGTGTCTGTATCAATACTGCAGAGCAAACATTGATGGTCCATCAGCATTTTCTCTGGAAAGCCTATGCATACTCTGAACACCTTACTTGAAATAGCAGCTATTCATAGAAATTACCATCATTTACACATGGAGCCTCACCAGAAGCAAGTTGTTTCTAGGATTCTACCCTGGAAAGTTTAGTCAATTCCCAATTCCCAGCATGAAGGATTCAATGTGGTGATTTAAAATTGGGATCTGGCTACATAGCTACTTCCACGTTGCCCAGTTAATATTCTTTCTTATTTACTTCCTACCTTCCCACCAAGAAAATATCCATGGATATGACCAAAGCAGATGTACCAAAAAGCACTTGTATATTTACGTTCAGACTTTTAAACCCAAGAGTCCAGCTGAAGCATGTGTGTGATCGAGATGTTGAGATTTGAAAATTTAACAAAATATTTCTATCAAAGCAGTGCTTATTTTCACAACAACTCCTAGATGAATAGAATAAATTCCTTGTAAAAGATTTATTTTTGAGCTCAGATTTTAAAAGCCACTTTCTACCAAACAGACAGCACAGCGTTGACCTTGAAGTAGGTGTGATAAACACAGCTCTTTCAGGTCTGGCTATTATTACAAAATGACTGAGCACAAGGGAGATCTGAAGGCAATAATATCCATTGGACAATAAACTCAGTGGAAGACAGGATGCTTGGGATAAATGGCGTGGGAGCTGAAAAGGATGTTTGATTTTCTAAATGGTTACATACTTGGGTAGAGTATATCTTCTTTATCTAATTCTTTCAAAAACATGTTATTTCCCCATTAGTATGGCTCTTTATAAAAATAAAGCACAAAGAGCATATTTCTTTCTTAAAGAACGTTTAACAGGGTAGGGCACAGTGGCTCATGCCTGTAATCCCAGCACTTTGGGAGGCCAAGGCAGGCAGATTGCCTGAGCTCAGAAGCTCGAGACCAGCCTGGGCAACATGGTGAAACTCTGTCTCTCCTAAAATAGAAAATAAAAATTAGCCAGGCATGGCGGCTGCACCTGTAGTTGCAGCTACTCAGGAGGCTGAGGCAGGAGAATTGCTTGAATCCAGGAGGCAGAGGTTGCAGTGAGCTGAGATTGCACCACTGCACTCCAGCCTGGGCGACAGAGCGAGACTCCATCTCAAAACAAAAACAAACAAACAAGAACATTTATCAAAATGATCACAAGATTCTTGAATTGCTGTTCTTATTTTAAGCCATTAGGTACTTCTCTTATACTGTGAAAATGTAGTCTGAATCTTAACTATTAGTATATGTAGCAGTGGAGATGTCATAGAAAAAATCCAAATTTATACTGCAAAAATATTTATATTACTGGTAAAGTAACATTTAAAACACCAAAAAACTATAAGAACTTATTGTAAGTAAAATGCCCACACATTTTTCTTTTTAGATGTAGTGAGTTGTCACAGGTGCGTAAAGTGTTTGAAAATAACCCAGAATTATCTGTCTATCCACTTCATAAAATCATATACTCGTACATGTATCTCCCAGTTTCACAAGTAGTAGACAAATTTAAAGTGTGATACTCAGTAAATACCAACTATGAGATTCACCAAAAGCAATCGTATTTATGATGTGTGGGGTTGAATTATTTTCAATTATTGGGACATCATAAAGCACAATACTCTGTACTTGTAGTGTACATAAATAGTTTTAGTTCACTTGCTCAGAGGAAAAGAAAAATTTCATCCATATTTTTGAGGCTACAGTGACTTTTAAACTCTCTTTTGTTTTTGGACTTTTAGGTTTTTATCTCTCTCTTCAAGCAAGCTATCTTTTGATCAAATAAATGTGCTAATTTGTTAATAATTTATTCTAAAATATGTATGTTAAACTTTAAAATACCTTGGAGGGAGGAACCAAGATGGCCGAATAGGAACAGCTCCGGTCTGCAGCTCCCAGCATGAGCGACGCAGAAGACGGGTGATTTCTGCATTTCCATCTGAGGTACAGGGTTCATCTCACTAGGGAGTGCCAGACAGCGGGCGCAGGTCAGTGGGTGCGCGCACCGTGCGCGAGCCAAAGCAGGGCGAGGCATTGCCTCACTTTGGGAAGCGCAAGGGGTCAGGGAGTTCCCTTTCCGAGTCAAAGAAAGGGGTGACGGACAGCACCTGGAAAATCGGGTCACTCCCACCCGAATACTGCGCTTTTCCGACGGGCTTAAAAAACGGCGCACCACGAAATTATAACCAACACCTGGCTCGGAAGGTCCTACGCCCACGGAGTCTCGCTGATTGCTAGCACAGCAGTCTGAGATCAAACTGCAAGGCTGCAGTGAGGCTGGGGGAGGGGCGCCCGCCATTGCCCAGGCTTGATTAGGTAAACAAAGCAGCCCAGAAGCTCGAACTGGGTGGAGCCCACCACAGCTCAAGGAGGCCTGCCTGCCTCTGTAGGCTCCACCTCTGCGGGCAGGGCACAGACAAACAAAAAGACAGCAGTAACCTCTGCAGACTTAAATGTCCCTGCCTGACAGCTTTGAAGAGAGCAGTGGTTCTCCCAGCATGCAGCTGGAGATCTGAGAACGGGCAGACTGCCTCCTCAAGTGGGTCCCTGACCCCTGACCCCCGAGCAGCCTAACTGGGAGGCACCCCCCAGCAGGGGCACACTGACACCTCACACGGCAGGGTATTCCAACAGACCTGCAGCTGAGGGTCCTCTCTGTTAGAAGGAAAACTAACAAACAGAAAGGACATCCACACCAAAAACCCATCTGTACATCACCATCATCAAAGACCAAAAGTAGACAAAACCACAAAGATGGGGAAAAAAACAGAACAGAAAAACTGGACACTCTAAAAATCAGAGCGCCTCTCCTCCTCCAAAGGAACACAGTTCCTCACCAGCAACAGAACAAAGCTGGATGGAGAATGACTTTGACGAGCTGAGAGAAGAAGGCTTCAGACGATCAAATTACTCTGAGCTACAGGAGGACATTCAAACCAAAGGCAAAGAAGTTGAAAACTTTGAAAAAAATTTAGAAGAATGTACAACTAGAATAACCAATACAGAGAAGTGCTTAAAGGAGCTGATGGAGCTGAAAACCAAGGCTCCAGAACTACGTGAAGAATGCAGAAGCCTCAGGAGCCGACGCGATCAACTGGAAGAAAGGGTATCAGCAATGGAAGATGAAATGAATGAAATGAAGCGAGAAGGGAAGTTTAGAGAAAAAAGAATAAAAAGAAATGAGCAAAGCCTCCAAGAAATATGGGACTATGTGAAAAGACCAACTCTACGTCTGACTGGTGTACCTGAAAGTGATGGGGAGAATGGAACCAAGTTGGAAAACACTCTACAGGATATTATCCAGGAGAACTTCCCCAATCTAGCAAGGCAGGCCAACATTCAGATTCAGGAAATACAGAGAGCACCACAAAGATACTCCTCGAGAAGAGCAACTCCAAGACACATAATTGTCAGATTCACCAAAGTTGAAATGAAGGAAAAAATGTTAAGGGCAGCCAGAGAGAAAGGTCGGGTTACCCTCAAAGGGAAGCCCATCAGACTAACAGCGGATCTCTCGGCAGAAACCCTACAAGCCAGAAGAGAGTGGGGGCCAATATTCAACATTCTTAAAGAAAAGAATTTTCAACCCAGAATTTCATATCCAGCCAAACTAAGCTTCATAAGTGAAGGAGAAATAAAATACCTTACAGACAAGCAAATGCTGAGAGATTTTGTCACCACCAGGCCTGCCTTACAAGAGCTCCTGAAGGAAGCACTAAACATGGAAAGGAACAACCGGTACCAGCCGCTGCAAAATCATGCCAAAATGTAAAGACCATCGAGACTAGGAAGAAACTGCATCAACTAACGAGCAAAATAACCAGCTAACATCATAATGACAGGATCAAATTCACACATAACCATATTAACTTTAAATGTCAATGGACTAAATGCTCCAATTAAAAGACACAGACTGGCAAATTGGATAAAGAGTCAAGACCCATCAGTGTGCTGTATTCAGGAAACCCATCTCACATGCAGAGACACACATAGGCTCAAAATAAAAGGATGGAGGAAGATCTACCAAGCCAATGGAAAACAAAAAAAGGCAGGGGTTGCAATCCTAGTCTCTGATAAAACAGACTTTAAACCAACAAAGATCAAAAGAGACAAAGAAGGCCATTACATAATGGTAAAGGGATCAATTCAACAAGAAGAGCTAACTATCTTAAATATGTATGCACCCAATACAGGAGCACCCAGATTCATAAAGCAAGTCCTGAGTGACCTACAAAGAGACTTAGACTCCCACACATTAATAATGGGAGACTTTAACACCCCACTGTCAACATTAGACAGATCAACGAGACAGAAAGTCAACAAGGATACCCAGGAATTGAACTCAGCTCTGCACCAAGCGGACCTGATAGACATCTACAGAACTCTCCACCCCAAATCAACAGAATATACATTTTTTTCAGCACCGCACCACACCTATTCCAAAATTGACCACATACTGGGAAGTAAAGCTCTCCTCAGCAAATGTAAAAGAACAGAGATTATAACAAACTATCTCTCAGACCACAGTGCAATCAAACTAGAACTCAGGATTAAGAATCTCACTCAAAACCGCTCAACTACATGGAAACTGAACAAACTGCTCCTGAATGACTACTGGGTACATAACGAAATGAAGGCAGAAATGAAGATGTTCTTTGAAACCAACGAGAACAAAGACACAACATACCAGAATCTCTGGGACGCATTCAAAGCAGTGTGTAGAGGGAAATTTATGGCACTAAATGCCCACAAGAGAAAGCAGAAAAGATCCAAAATTGACACCCTAACATCACAATTAAAAGAACTAGAAAAGCAAGAGCAAACACATTCAAAAGCTAGCAGAAGGCAAGAAATAACTAAAATCAGAGCAGAACTGAAGGAAATAGAGACACAAAAAACCCTTCAAAAAATTAATGAATCCAGGAGCTGATTTTTTGAAAGGATCAACAAAATTGATAGACCGCTAGCAAGACTAATAAAGAAAAAAAGAGAGAAGAATCAAATACACGCAATAAAAAATGATAAAGGGGATATCACCACCGATCCCACAGAAATACAAACTACCATCAGAGAATACTACAAACACCTCTACGCAAATAAACTAGAAAATCTAGAAGAAATGGATAAATTCCTCGACACATACACTCTCCCAAGACTAAACCAGGAAGAAGTTGAATCTCTCAATAGAACAATAACAGGAGCTGAAATTGTGGCAATAATCAATAGCTTACCAACCAAAAAGAGTCCAGGACCAGATGGATTCACAGCCGAATTCTACCAGAGGTACAAGGAGGAACTGGTACCATTCCTTCTGAAACTATTCCAATCAATAGAAAAAGAGGGAATCCTCCCTAACTCATTTTATGAGGCCAGCATCATTCTGATACCAAAGCCAGGCAGAGACACAACAAAAAAAGAGAATTTTAGACCAATATCCTTGATGAACATTGATGCAAAAAACCTCAATAAAATACTGGCAAAATGAATCCAGGAGCACATCCAAAAGCTTACCCACCATGATCAAGTGGGCTTCATCCCTGGGATGCAAGGCTGGTTCAATATACGTAAATCAATAAATGTAATCCAGCATATAAACAGAGCCAAAGACAAAAACCACATGATTATCTCAATAGATGCAGAAAAACCTTTGACAAAATTCAACAACCCTTCATGCTAAAAACTCTCAATAAATTAGGTATTGATGGGACGTATCTCAAAATAATAAGAGCTATCTATGACAAACCCACAGCCAATATAATACTGAATGGGCAAAAACTGGAAGCATTCCCTTTGAAAACTGGCACAAGACAGGGATGCCCTCTCACCACTCCTATTCAACATAGTGTTGGAAGTTCTGGCCAGGGCAATTAGGCAGGAGAAGGAAATAAAGGGTATTCAATTAGGAAAAGAGGAAGTCAAATTGTCCCTGTTTGCACATGACATGATTGTATATCTAGAAAACCCCATTGTCTCAGCCCAATATCTCCTTAAGCTGATAAGCAACTTCAGCAAAGTCTCAGGATAAAAAATCAATGTACAAAAATCACAAGCATTCTCATACACCAACAACAGACAAACAGAGAGCCAAATCATGAGTGAACTCCCATTCACAATTGCTTCAAAGAGAATAAAATACCTAGGAATCCAAATTACAAGGGATGTGAAGACCTCTTCAAGGAGAACTATAAACCACTGCTCAATGAAATAAAAGAGGATACAAACAAATGGAAGAACATTCCATGCTCATGGGTAGGAAGAATCAATATTGTGAAAATGGTCATACTACCCAAGGTAATTTACAGATTCAATGCCATCCCCATCAAGCTACCAATGACTTTCTTCACAGAATTGGAAAAAACTACTTTAAAGTTCATGTGGAACCAAAAAAGAGCCCGCATCGCCAAGTCAATCCTAAGCCAAAAGAACAAAGCTGGAAGCATCACACTACCTGACTTCAAGCTATACTACAAGCCTACAGTAACCAAAACAGCATGGTACTGGTACCAAAACAGAGATATAGATCAATGGAACAGAACAGAGCCCTCAGAAATAATGCCGCATATCTACAACTATCTGATCTTTGACAAACCTTAGAAAAACAAGAAATGGGGAAAGGATTCCCTATTTAATAAATGGTGCTGGGAAAACTGGCTGGCCATATGTAGAAAGCTGAAACTGGATCCCTTCCTTACACCTTATACAAAAATCAATTCAAGATGGATTAAAGACTTAAATGTTAGACCTAAAACCATAAAAACCCGAGAAGAAAACCTAGGCATTACCATTCAGGACATAGGCATGGGCAAGGACTTCATGTCTAAAACACCAAAAGCAATGGCAACAAAAGACAAAATTGACAAATGGGATCTAATTAAACTAAAGAGCTTCTGCACAGCAAAAGAAACTACCATCAGAGTGAACAGGCAACCTACAAAATGGGAGAAAATTTTCGCAACCTACTCATCTGACAAAGGGCTAATATCCAGAATCTATAATGAACACAAACAAATTTACAAGAAAAAAACAAACAACCCCATCAAAAAGTGGGCGAAGGACATGAACAGACACTTCTCAAAAGAAGACATTTATGCAGCCAAAAAACACAAGAAAAAATGCTCATCATCACTGGCCATCAGAGAAATGCAAATCAAAAACACAATGAGATACCATCTCACACCAGTTAGAATGGCAATCATTAAAAAGTCAGGAAACAACAGGTGCTGGAGAGGATGTGGAGAAATAGGAACACTTTTACACTGTTGGTGGGACTATAAACTAGTTCAACCATTGTGTTAGTGTGGCGATTCCTCAGGGATCTAGAACCGGAAATACCGTTCGACCCAGCCATCCCATTACCGGGTATATACCCAAAGGACTATAAATCATGCTGCTATAAAGACACATGCACACGTATGTTTATTGCAGCATTATTCACAATAGCAAAGACTTGGAACCAACCCAAATGTCCAACAATGATAGACTGGATTAAGAAAATGTGGCACATATACACCATGGAATACTATGCAGCCATAAAAAATGATGAGTTCATGTCCTTTGTAGGGACATGGATGAAATTGGAAATCATCATTCTTAGTAAACTATCGCAAGAACAAAAAACCAAACACTGCATATTCTCACTTATAGGTGGGAATCGAACAATGAGATCACATGGACACAGGAAGGGGAATATCACACTCTGGGGACTGTGTTGGGGTGGGGGGAGCGGGGAGGGATAGCATCAGGAGATACACCTAATGCTAGATGACGAGTTAGTGGGTGCAGCGCACCAGCATGGCACATGTATACATATGTAACTAACCTGCACAATGTGCACATGTACCCTAAATCTTAAAGTATAATAAATAAAAAAGTCACTATGATCTGCATAGGGTTTCTCAAGCAGCCGCATCAACTACTTGTGCAAACAATGGTGCCAATGCCACCGAAAATGCCACCTCAGTGGTCAAGACAAAGTTTGTCTACTTCAGTTCCCTCACAGGAAAAGTGATATCAAATAGAGTACCACTAAAGCTTTGATGTGTTGGTAGGCTTTCATAGTGTTATGTTACTCGTTTCTATGAAACACATGCTCATTTTGGTTACTGCCTATAACAACCAGAAAAGTATGCAAACAGCGTTTATGAACTCTTTTTATAACCAAATCCACTTTGGGTAAACTAAAGATGCCTCATGGTTTTCCAGAGAATTACAGCTGTAAGGGTGCTCAGGTACCATGATGTGTGCAGGAACTCAACAAAGACTGAGAGATGCTTCAATGTATTTTGAGCATAAAACAGACTCTTGTAGTGTCAGAGGCACTTATTTTAGAGGGCTTGGATTTTTTAGGATCATTTCTTTCCCCTCCATTGACCAGGCGGAGTCTTGTAGAAATCTAATTAACCTGCATATAGTGAGGGATTTGGTTAGCTCCCAGGAATAAGACAATGAAGAGTTATTACATCATTACATTTTTCTAAATTCTTTGCAAATAATATTATTTTGGTGGGCTGGAGGAAGAAGAATTAAGCCAAACTTAAGGCCTCTGGATACAATGGAGGTTTTTCTTATCTGTTTTGCAAGAAAAAGAATAAACGTGAATTCAGTAGTGATAATGGACTGAATTTTCTGAGCTGGCAAAATGTATATTTTAAACTGATTTTCTGTTGTGTGAGATCCAATTACTTCTGTTAAACTATTTTAAAATTCAATATAGCTTCCTCCTATCCATGACTATTAGAAAGAGGGAAAGCACAGAATATGTATTTTCTAAGAATTCTTTTCCTAGTTATGTGAATCATAATAAAGAATTCATCACATTACATTGATAATTATTACTGATAGTAAAATTTAAGAGAAAACAAGAATCCTACTGTTTTCCAAACTGGTGAATACAGCTTATACAATATACATACGTGAGAAACTTGAAAAATAAATTACATGATCATACTATCCACAGAAAAATAATGAGCTGAAAATAAATAATTCTTATTAAATAGCTACACATATTTCAAAACAAATATGTAAACACATCATGTCAATTATTTAAGAAAACTACTTTTTCTTCCTCAGTTGAATATCTTAGAGGGAATAAAAATTATCCATAATATAATAATATAATAAAAAGTCAGAGGATTGATAATACCAGTTAACATACTTTTAAAAATCATTTTATACAGAAAAATCTTCCAAATATACTGCTTGTTCATAAGCCTCTTTGCAATTATCATTCAATACATGCACTTCTATTAAATTCAAGCTAAACATGAAAAAATAAAAATAAATAAATAAATAAAATACCTTGGAAATGTTTTTCTTTATGGAGAATATTTGTTTCATTAAATAAATGTGCTAATTTATTAATAATTTATTCTAAAATATGTATGTTAAACTTTAAAATACCTTGGAAATGTTTTTCTTTATGGAGAATATTTGTTTCATTTCTCCTATCACTCTTGAATTGGTAATAGGGTTATCAGAAAATGTGTAAATGGTATAAGTTGAGAAATAAACATAACATAAAAGGCAAAAGCTAAGATGTACAAATAAACAGCTTAGTTCATTCCGGTTTTATACACATGGTGCCAAAATGGCTATCAAATTCAGGGTTGATTAGCTGTCAGTCAAGGACTGCAGAGAGTTAAGCTAGTAGCCACACAGTCAGGAACATTTAGGCCATTTGGAAGACATCCAGACATGCTGAACTAGTTTAATGACTTGTGTTAGAAATAGTAGGTGACATTTTTCTCCCTTCAGTCTCTTGATCTCTACCACTAGTTACAATAGAATTGTATGAGAATGTTGAGGTTCTGGTGATTTAATGAGGTGTCACTGCACAATTTTTATTCTGCTACAATGACAGTTTTGGAACATTTTTGCTTCTCTCAGTCTCTAGCCATGCTGGCTTTTGTCATTAAGTGGCCATTGTGATCTTTGATGTATAATGATGGGGAGTGCTGTCAAGAAGCAAAATCATGGTTGTTACATGGTTTGGGTCAGCCACAGCAGTCAGTTTTTTTTGTGTGTGTACAGCAATATTGGCTATTGTTGCCATAAGAATGGTGGAAATGATTGGGGTAGGAGAGTGAATTGCAGCCCAACTGAAGAATAATAAGCCACCTCTTCAATTTTAACCTGAAAATGACAATTTTTTTTAAAAAAAAGTAGGTTCATGCACTAAGATTAGAAAAAACTGAATACCAAATTCATACAATTTGACTTTTGCTTTAACTATCAAATATCAAAATTCAAGTTAATACAGATTCAATTTGTGCTAAATATTTCACTTTAAACCCTCTTTTTCAAGAACACTTGGCATCAACAAAGAGTGAATTTGGTCTTAGTTTCCCTTTCTTTTTCCTTCCCCCCACCAAGTCTAAGAACTAGTAAAATTCTTAATCTCATGTCAATGGAACACTTTTAAAATTCCTATTTAATGTGTCTTTCTTTGCCTTGTAAACCAGAGACTCTTCATTTTGTGTTCAAAAATTTAAAAAGACCAAACACAGTAAGCTGCTTTATAATTCTTTTTTTATTCATTGATGTTTGTGAAATACACACTATCCGTAACTATTGGGAAATGTGACGTTTACATAGCAGAAAACCCATCTACACTGACGGACATAGAATTTAGAGGAATCCAAATTTTTGTTTGCCAAAATAACAGATTAACTGTTTATCATTCCAATTCATCAGAGTCTAAAGGGAAGCATTTAATGGGAACGATCTAATTTCTCTCCAGAGCTTTTAAGTCCCTGCACTCCCAGAAATACAATCTTTTCTCTCCCTACCACGGAGGCATTGCATGGACAGTGCATATTTCACATGAGAACATTAATATCAAACACTTCATATCAAGTATAGCACATAGTAGGCAATGGATAAACATCAGCTATAATTATTTAGTGAAAGTTGAAATCATGCCTTTCCTTCAAAGAAACTGTGTTTCATAAAATATTTTAGGTGAAGATTAATATACACAAATCCTTCTCTGTTTTTTGAAATTGCTGAAAATTCATGCAAAGTCATAAAGCAAACCAAGGCAAGCCTCACGCTGCCTCTAAAATATCTTATTTAATAAAAATCATCAGGCTGGGAGCGGTGGCTCACGCCTGTAATCCCAGCACTTTGGGAGGCCGAGGTGGGTGGATCACGAGGTCAGGAGATTGAGACCACGGTGAAACCCCATCTCTACCAAAAATACAAAAAATTAGCCGGGCGCGGTGGCGGACGCCTGTAGTCCCAGCTACTCGGGAAGCTGAGGCAGGAGAATGGCATGAACCCGGGAGGTGGAGCTTGCAGTGAGCCGAGATCGTGCCACTGCACTCCAGCCTGGGCGACAGAGCGAGACTCCATCTCAAAAAAAAAAAAAAAAAAAAATCATCACCAGCATGAAACTTGGCAGAAGTGAGACTTGATTCCAGTGCTTGTTTTTGCTACAATGTTTTGCAATTTGGGTAGCCTATTAGCTGCGAAGCCCTGTCATATCTCCCAGCAAAGCAGATATAGATATTTTATCAAATATTTTGTTGACTGATTTTTAAATTGTTTTATTATAACACATATAATAGATTGTGAATTCATAATGAAAACAGGTATTTTTTCCTTTCTTTCCAAATGATTACAGGACTTGGTACCAGCTGACACACGTGGCTGACAGCAGCTGATAATGAAGCCTTTTCTCCCTGGTAAAGGTTTGAGGTTGAAGCCTTTGTTTCTGTGAACTTTAAATTTCAAAACCTCCTTAATACTGAAAACTTTTTTTCCAAAATAAACGTTTTCCCTTTGAAAAAATATATTGATTTAGGATTAAACTTTTCCAAAATATTGTAAATATCTTCAATATCTGTTAAGACATGTATTTTCCTTGGATGTGGTGTGTGTGTGTGTGTGTGTGTGTGTATTTAACCAGCTTACTTGGAATGAGAGTTTATTTGCCTTAAACATACATGTATTTCAAAATCTTTTTTTCAATGTGCTACAAAGGTACAAAATATTTTATATACGATTTTGAAGAATGAAGTGTAGATTCACTTCCATTATTTTAGATCATCACCAACAAATGATTATGTGTGCAGCCAAACATTCTGCATTCCAGTTTTGGTGAAAAAAAAGGATATTTACTTTTATTACTATAAAATATAGTCTCAAATGTATAATTATTGTTCTAATTTTTTTTTTTTTTTTTTGAGACAGAGTCTCACTCTGTCACCCAGGCTGAAGTACAGTGGCGCAATCTCGGCTTACCGCAACCTCAGCCTCCCAGGTTCAAGCGATTCTCCTGCCTCAGCCTCCCAAGTAACTGGGATTACAGGTATGCACCACCACGCCCGGCTAATTTTTGTATTTTTCATAGAGATGGGGTTTCACCATGTTGGCCAGGTTGGTCTCAAACTCCTGACCTCAGGTGATCTACCTGCTTTGGCCTCCCATAGTGCTGGGATTACAGGCGTGAGTCACCATGCTCGGCCGTCATCCTAATTCTTTATCAGATTAACTCACATATATATTTTAAAACCCAAATTGTACCACAAGGTTTATGACTAAAAACACAAGTAACTATCCAGCCACTTCAAATTTTTGATTCCCACTTTCGGTTTGTGTGTCTTTATTATTTCACCTTTTCCCCCAACTTTTTGGAGGTACCATTGACAATTCAAATGTATACACTTAAGGTGTCAAAGTTGATCATTTACTATATGTATACCTTGTGAAATATTCACCAATCAAGCTACTTAACATACCCATAATCTCAGGTAGTTACTTTGCGTGTGTTTGTGTGTATATGTGTGTGTGTGTACTTGTGTGCCAAGAACACTTAAAGTCGGCCCGCCTAGCAAAATTGAAATATACAATACAATATGGTTTACTATCACCACATTGTTCTATGTTAGAGTTCCAGAATTTATTTATCTTGTATAACTGAAATTTTGTACCCCTCGACTAACATCCAAAGACAAACACTTTATTTCAGCTGAACACATTCATTTACATTTCTATGTAACATTTCTTGATTTTTTTCTTGATAGTCCTTATCTTATCATCAAACATATATATGGTGAACATGGTGTCTCTCCTCTGATCTTCTGACTGTTGTGATGTAATAGTCATCATTTACATTATTAGACTATTATGGTGACTTATGTAAATCATAAATCATGTTATTTATTGTTCATGTTATTTATTGATCATTTCTGTTTCTCTAATGTTTCTGTTCCCTCTTTCTGAAATTTCTTTAGTTAGTTGCTAGACATACTGGATCCTATAATTATGTCATTATTATTCTGCAATAGCTAGTTGAAATAGCTTTGGCTTTTTGTTTTGCTTTCTGATAATTTTTTATCCTATTTTGCTCTCTTACTCTTCTTCATATGTTATATCTGCTGGACTTTTTAATTGTGTTCTTCTTAATTTGTTTCAGGCTCACCATTCTATTCAATCAGTAAATACTGACTGAGCTACTTCTATATTTAAACACTCTTATAGGTCCTGAACTACTTCAGTGAAGAAAATGAACAGTGTCCACTACTCAATAGAGGTCTCATTCTAGAAGGAGAAATAGAACAAAAAATAAAAAGAGGAAATTATATATGAAATCTCCAGAGTGGAGAAAGTTAGACATTTTAGTCAAGGTCATGAGGAAACACCTCAGTGAGAAGGGATGGAATGTGGCTGTCCAGGCAAGGAGCTTCTTAGGCAATAGAAAATCAGTCCTCTCCTGAACTGCATCTGACTGATAATCTCATATATTGACTTAAAAATGTAAGTATTAAATATGTTTTTAAATGTAAATATGAAATATATTTTTACTCTTCTAGAAGTTGCATTTTATTCTTAACATTTGTTTGCCATTTTGTAGTCTTTTGTGCCTTACTCATGTTTTTATCACCTTTTTAATGTTATAAATATATTAAACATATTTATTTTATATGTTTATGTTGCTTTATATCATTGAATGTTCTATTACTTTTTACTTTTTAAATTTCCCCATTCTCCCCGTTTTTAATTTCTCCATTCTCTCCATTGTCTCGCTCTCTCTCTCTCGTTGAAATTCATATTTCTTGGAAATCAATCCACGAGAATTCTTTTAATTCAGCTTTGAAGCTGAGCTTTTTATTCTTCAGGCACTTTGGGGCACTACCAGTTCAGGACTACTTTAAACTAAAGGCTTGGCTAAAGTCACTTAGGAGCACCTCAGTACTATCAATTCAAAATTCAAATCATCTGAGAAAAACTTTGGTTACAAATTATAAAGGAAAAAAAATCCCTTCAGTCATTCACTAATTGCCGAAGCTCTTAAGAGGTAACCTATGAGGATTTTTGCATGGGATTTTGTTTGTTTGTTAGTTTTGTTTCTTGCAAGCCTCTGATAGGTATTTGCAAGACAGAATGATAAGTGTACGGGTAGGTAGAATGGGGAAGGAGAGGGTTATTTCTAGTTCATTCTTTACCCTGAGGATGTAGCCTAGAAGATGCCTCATATGGACATTTTCTGTCATGCTCATAACTCATGAAACTGTGATAATTGAGGTTCAAATCCATCCGTGTAGCAAATACCCCCAAGATAAAAACTGGTTTCAGTTTTTACTCCCTTCTTTAATTTACTGTGTTCACTTAGCTTTTGGCCTTGCTAATTTGCAAACTCATCAATGCACTTAAAAATATACATTTGAAAATATTTATTCAGCATGTTAATTGTTTCATTTGGGAGTTTCTTCCATACTACTGGAAATAAAAGCTGCTCCTTTTTTAATGCATAAACTGAGTTCACATTGCATCTTTAGATTTTCATAGTATCACGTGTACTATGATATTTTGTCAATGTTCTTATTCACCTTTTAATATATTTACCATCTTTGCTTGATTGAAAATGCCTTTATTTTGCCCTTAGTGTTGGATGAAAGTCAACTGGATACAATAAAATTGTGTAACTGTTTTTGCGCTCAACATTTTGAGATTATTCTTTTATTCCCTTATAGCATTTAGCATGCTGTTGAGAAATAGGCTGGCAGTTAAACTGACATTGCCTAAGTCAGTTTTCTTATTTGACACTTTTTAAGATGGCTTCTTTAGGTTTCATATTTTCAGTCTAGTCATCATGTATCTAATTGTAAATTAGAGTTTGCTTTTAACTTGAAGATTTATTTCTACTACTCTAGAAAATTCTCTACAATGATCTTTCCTTCTATTACCTTTCTGCCATTCTCTTCCACTCTTTTCTTCTAATGCTTGTATTACATAAATGTTGCTTTCTCTTTATCTAGCCTCCTGGTTCTTAATTGTGTTCTCACATTTTTAAAAATGTTGCTTTGCTCTACATTATATGTGAGTAATCTAGTGTTAATTTCCAATTCATTAAATTAATTCATTAATTCACTGAGTCCATTGTAAAACTTTCCTCCTCCTTTTTTTTTTTTTATAATGACTGTATTCTTTTTCTTCTCCCAAGATCCCCTGATTAAGTCTCACTCTTCTTGTTTGTAGTAACAGGAATTGTTGCTTCACTTTAATCCCATAAAGTAAACTCTTGTGGTTGCAGCTGAGAGCTTTCTCTGGCCAAAGGACCATGTTCAGTCCCTATCAGGACAAGCAAAAACTTCTTGGGGTTAACATTCTTGTGAGCAATGCTTATCAATTAGAGATGAAATCTGATGGACAATTACCTCAAACTTCTTGCCCCTCAGGGGGACAACTTTGAGGCATGTTTGCCCACCTCCCAGGAGTCCTCAGCGGTATTGGGCGCCAGGTGAGTGCAGTGATACCTGATCCTTAATGCAGTATCTTTTGGCTTCTAGTCCTCCTGCCTCGCTTCCCCAGTCCTGAATGATAATTTCAAGAATACTCCCATCTTCCAAGTAAGCTGCTTTTACTCAGATTCTGACGTTAAAATCAGTTTTGGGGAAAATCAAACTTCAAGTGTCTTCTTTGTTTATTAGTTTTCATTGTCACACTTCCACTTATCTACTTGGCTAGGTGCAAAAATATTGTATTTAAAGTCCTTGTTTAATTCATAAATTTATAAGATTTATGAATTTTGTTCACAGAAAACTGCTGTCTCAGTTATAGAAGGCTCATTTTAGTAGGAGAGCTTGTTGTGTCCTTGTGTTGCCTTTTTATCCCCTCTCTGCTCAGGTGTACATTCCTTTCTTTTCATCAGTCTGACATCTTTATAGCTGGGACTCATTAGAAAAAGGTTTGATATTTCTATTTCTGGCCCAATATGTTTTACATTTTGTTATATATATATATTTATCTCTTCATGACACCTTCTGAGAGAGTTTCTCAGTGAAGATTTTCAGCTTACCAATTTGTCTTTGTGTCCACTTAAATCTCTATTCCTTGATTGCTTTATCTCAACAATTATTTTATTCAAGTTAAATATTTTCAGTTAGTTCTTCATAACCACCCATTGCTGTTACTCTTATCTTTTTAAAAGTCTTTGTTGTGCTTGTTTTAAATTGTTGTCCTGGCTACTAGGTTCACTTCCTCTGGTGTAGGGTCTTATTTCTTTTACTGTGCATATAATATCTGTATTACTCCATTCTCACGCTGCTATAAGGACATATCCGAGACTGGGTAATTTATAAAGGAAAGAGGTTTAATTGAATCACAGATCTGCAAGGCTGGGGAGGCCTCAAGAAACTTACAACTATGGCAGAAGAAGAAGGAAACACGTCCTTCTTCACATGGTGGCAGGAAGGAGAATGAGTGCCCAGCGAAGGGGGAAGCCCCTTATAAAACCATCAGATCTTGTGAGAACTCACTATCATGGGAGCAGGGTGGGGAAACCCACCCCTGATTCAATTATATCCACCTCTTCCCTCCCACAACATGTGGGGATTATGGGAACTACAATTCAAGGTGAGATTTGGGTGGGGACACAGCCGAACCATATCAACATCCTTTCTCTCTCTCTGTCTGTCTTTCTCTCTTTCTGTCTCTCTTCCCCTGAGCTCATCTTTATTCCCCTGAAACTGCCCTCTACCTGGGCTTGGAATGGCAGCCTTGAAGGAAAACAAAAACTGAGCGTTTGTGAAAATTTGTGGGTCCAGTAGGATGGGCCTTCTTGCTGACTTTATGAACTCTGGGATTCAGCATATACAGCTTTTGTTTTCCTGGGTCTCCTCACCACCTCATTTCCCTGTCCCAGGCATTGCTCTGCTCTGCTCTAGGGATGAGTACCCTCCTGTACCATTGTCTAAGGGGTCTGTAGGGAATCCTCAGGGTGTTACAGAACTATTATCACCTATTCCTCACCTCAGTTCTGACACAAACTCATGTTCTTCTCCTTTTGAACAGCACTGCTGCATTCCAGCTAATAGCACAGCTGCAGCAAAACCTGGGGATCAGAGCCTTAAGATAATGGCTTATTGGGACCAAGAATCTTTTGTGCCCTACTTGCATGCCTGGCCCAGCCCAGCAGCACTTGATAAATTCCCCACACATAGTGGTAGAGATGACAGTTTAGGTGCAGTTCTGCCCCATCCCATTCAGGTGGAAACTTCTGGCCACAGCTCTCCAGGGGCAATGCGACTTAGCCACATCACCCTGATTCTGTCCTCAGTGTATCTCCTCTATTCCCCCAACCTCTCCTCTAGTCCTCCCCCCGACCTCTCTAGGCCACCAAGTTTCCTGTATGTCAGGCTCTATGTGCCTTCAATCTCCCTGGGGTTTTTCACAGCTGGGCTCCAGTTATTGACTTGAACTTCACATTGAGTCCACCTTGCTTGGTAGAAGGAGCTGAAACCCAAGCTGGATTCATCTTGGGAACTGGAAGCCAAATCCCCTCTGGGATAAAAGTACTTAATTAAAAAACCCTGTTGTTTCTTCTCTTGAAAATGATTGGGAATCAAGAATATAAAAGATAATCCAAGCATGAGATTTTATTTATTTTTTAAAGTTACCAAAAATTTATTTCTTAGAATACTTTGTTGAATGACAGTTGGTTAATTTCTTTGTATTTTTTAAAAATTGTCTCATAAGTTAATTAATGATTTTGGAATAAAATGATGGATCATCTTTCACACGTAACTCTATGAAAAAATGACAGATAATTACAAAAAGCTAAATTTAGTATCAATTATCAACAATTCATATGCAAAACCTAGAATATAGTAATAAAATACTGGCACTAAATATAATTTTAAAATCATATTATAAGAAGTTATAATTTAGAGAAAAGAACAAAAATGACTAAATGGCTTTGTTGCCAAAACCTTCTAAATTAAATACAATTTAGAATTTGAGCTTTTGCAAAGCTATAAATGCCACAATGTATGCAATTTTAACCAAACATAGAGATAAGTGAAAGATGAGAATCATGCTCACAAAATATGGTTATGACTTTCTTTGGTGTGACCATTCCCAGCTCTTCTAATGGTTAGAACTTTAAAGAGTATGATTGTCTTGGGAGATGAAAATAAATTTGGGGACCTGAAGTGGTAAATAGGGAAAAGGAAAACAATTACTCTGTAGAAGAAGATTGTGTAAATTACAGATTACAAACAACAAGATAGGAAGAGAGAGGAATTAACACTTTATCCCTTGTCTCTCCCCAACGGCTGGCTCTTCATGTAGGAAGAAGGCATAGAATCTTCCAAATGCCTAAAGTCTAAATTGACTGCCTAAGTATTTACATGTCATTACAATTCTGTTCATGCATCAAATCACTTTGATTGATTTTGAATGGTTCTGATATAATCAGCATTTTTTATTTTTATTTTATTTTTTTATTATACTTTAAGTTTTGCTGGATTAAGAAAATGTGGCACATATACACCATGGAATACTATGCAGCCATAATCAGCATTTTTTAAATGACATCAGTTTACTGGGAAGAACCATCCTTGGGCATGACCAAGTCAGCCCTAGCATGTCCCTCAGTTTGACTACACTCTAGATAGGCTTCCTCCTGCCTCTAGGCCCCTAACCACTTTCCCATCCTGCCCTCAAAGCATCCAGTTGGTCTGAACACAGAGGAGCCTTCCCTCCTTTTTCTTAGGGTATTTACTTTAGAAAACTTATTATGAACTCTTCCTCTGACTTTTTGAAATGAAAATATTTTTAGAAGCTTCTTTCCAGTTTTACAACCCAGGACTGACTCTCTCAAGGACCTGGGAGCCGTCCCTTTGAAATGTAATCATCAAAGAGGCTAGCATCCCTACTGCCCAGTTGCTGTGGAAAGATAGGAGCCTGACCTAGTGGGTGCCTTGCTCCAAGTGCAAAAATTACCCCATCATGAAGATAGGAGAAAGTTTACTTTTCCATTGAGTGAGGGCAAACAGATGGCTTGTGATTCCCCAACCTCAACTCTTCAAAACTCTTGGCCGGGCGTGGTGGCTCACGCCTTGTAATCCCAGCACTTTGGGAGGCCGAGGCAGGCGCATCATCTGAGGTCAGGAGATGGAGACCAGCCTGGCCAACATGGTGAAACTCCGTCTCTGCTAAAAATACAAAAATTAGCCAGGCGTGGTGGCGGGTGCCTGTAATCCCAGCTACTTGGGAGGCTGAGACAGAAGAATTGCTTGAACCCGGGAGGCGGAGGTTGCAGTGAGCCGAGACTGCACCACTGCACTCCAGCCTGGACAACAAGAGTGAAAGTCCTCCTCAAAAAAACCAACCAACCAACAAACCAACAAACAAAAAAACTCTCTCATCATTTGTTTCAGGGAGCTGAACTCGGACTTTAGTGTTGTGGCATCTCTCCTCTATTGCAGTAGTCTTAAACATTTTTTTCCCCTGTTTAACTTTGACCATTTGGCAAACAAATGTTAAGAATAAAATGCAGCTTCTAGAAGAGTAAAAATATATTTAATCTTTACATTTTTAAGTCAGTATGTGAGATTATCAGTAGTTAGATGCAGTTCAAGAAAGGATTGGTTTTCTGTTGCCTAAGAAACTCCTTGCATCGAGAGCCACATTGCTATTTTTCTTTGACAAAGCAGTATTGTGGGAAAATCAAGTTTTCTTCTTTTTCTTTTTTTTTTTTTTGAGATGGAGTTTCACTCTTGTTGCCCAGGCTGGAGTGCAGTGGTGCAATCTCGGCTCACTGCAACCTCCGCCTCCAAATGTTGCTTTTTGCTATACTTAAAAGTTGGAAATTTGATTGTAAAATGTTTAAAACCTTGTTTTATTTGAATTCAGAATTAGGGCAAATAATTATAGTGGTTTATTATTTTTTGTACAGTAAATACGAGACAGACAAGGAATTAGGACATTTGCAATCCTAGATCCTCCGACATTAAATGATCAGGGGGAAGTTATTTAACCTGTTTGGGCCTCAGATTTCTCATTTATAAAATGAGAAGTTTGGACAAACTCACTTCAACTCTAATACTATAAGATTATTTGATTATCTTTTTGTCTTCAAGACTTTTTTGATCCTAATTAAGAAGCAGGCTCTTTCTCAAATCCTGATACAATCATTAGACCACATGGTATATTTAGTTGGTAACAGACTCATCATAATGTGAAAATGTGTGCAGTGCAATGAGCCCATACACCATGAGTAGCTAATGAACACCCCTTAAAACAACATTCCTAAATGAATAACAAAATTGGTGCCAAGAAACACAGATACCTCACCAACACTCCAGCTGTTGATTTTAATCTTAGTTCTATTGCCGCCTAATATTCCAATGATTTCCCTTTCTTACTTGAAATTAATCAACATTTATGAAGAAAAGAATATCAAATTATAATTATAGAAAAAATGGTCTGGCTTCTTAATCTTCCTTCTCCATATTTCATCTCCATTTTCATATAAATCTTTCCAAAATGCTTTTCAATGTCCTTTCATCATCCGTCATTTAGTCAAGTAACTATTATTGACAGAACAAAAGGGTTTTTCCCCTTAAATTGTCACATCATGGTTAAATTATTTATATTTGAAAACATGATGTGTATCAGATGTGTGGAAACATGAAGTTGATTTTTCATATTTATTGGTATTTTCATATGTTAGCGCATGTTGGTCCATGGAGACCACCTGGCGTGACTCTTCTGTGATTCTTCCATTCACAGAGGTCAACACCTTTTTAATAAGGGAATAGCATTCTAGAAGAGATTTATTTAGATATCTCAGATTTATTAAAATGCAGAGTGTGGATTTTATAAATTATTTGATTATAATTTTCTTTTATTGATGAGGATATTGAGAGATTTATTTCACTTGTGCTATTCAATTTGTACTTTGACCATTTAAACTACTTGTTAAAGTTGCTTTGAAGTTACTTTTTTGGTTACTGTTCTAAATACGTTATTAGTGCCTTGATCGTGAGTGATTGATCCAACATTAGTGGAAACCTTAAGTGGAAAATAAAATCTTCTAAGCAGAAATCCTGCTTAGTAGGTCTTCCTTCCTGCTATCCTTTCTCTCAAATAAGAATTTTTATTTTTTGACTCTCAGGTCAAAAGAATTGGATTAATCATAATCCTTGGTTTGCGATCCAATATTGTAATTGTTCATTGAAAAGAGTCATCTTTTAAAAAATATTTCTGCATGTTTAATAATTTAATAAACACCTTAATCCAAAGCAGAAATTGGTATTATCTCACCACTTGGTCTTCCTTCTCATCCCCTGCTTGTTCCTAACAAGCTAAACATACTGAATACTTTCTTCTTCTTCTTTTTTTTTTTTTTTGTTGAGACGGAGTCTCGCTCTGTCGCCCAGGCTGGAGTGCAGTGGCGCGATCTCGGCTCACTGCAAGCTCCGCCTCCTGGGTTCACGCCATTCTCCTGCCTCAGCCTCCTGATTAGCTGGGACTACAGGCGCCCGCCACTGCGCCCGGCTAATTTTTTGTATTTTTAATAGAGACGGGGTTTCACCGTGGTCTCGATCTCCTGACCTCGTGATCCGCCCGCCTCGGCCTCCCAAAGTGCTGGGATTACAGGAGTGAGTCACCGCACCCGGCCTCTTCTTTCCTTCCTTTTTTCTTTGTTCTTCCTGTGCTGTCTTCACTTGCTAATTTTCTATTTTTTTTAGCAGTTTGATTAAGGTATAATTTATATGCCACAAAAGTCACCCACTTAATGTGAACAATTCAATAGTTTTTGCATATTTACAAAGTTGTGCGTCTATAAACGCTATCATTTTTAGAACATTTCATTACCCTAAAAACAAGCCTGGACTCCTTAGCTGTCATTTCTTAATCTCTCCACCTCCTCCTCACTCCCATGCCTCCTAAATCCTAGGAAAATATTATCCTGCTTTCTGTCTCCAGATTTGCCTCTTCTGGACATTTCATTCAATGGAATAATACACCGTGTGGTCCTTTGTGTCTAGCTTCTTTCACTTAGCATGATGTTTTCATGGTTTTTCCACACTGTAGCATACGTCAGTACTTCATTCATTTTATGACTAAAGTATATTTTTTGTATAGATATGCCACATTTTATTTATCCTTCCATCAACTCATGGATATTTGGGTTGTTTGTACTTTCTGGCTCTTCCGAATAATGTGGCTATGAATATTTGTGTACAAGATTTTGTGTGGACTTATGTTTCCACTTATCTTTGGTACGTGTCCAGAAGCAGAATTGTTGGATAATCTGATAACTCTATATTTAGCAGTTTGAAAAGTTACCAGACTGTTTTTCTAAGCAACTGCATTATTTCATATTTCCACCAAAAGTGTATGATGGTTCCAGTTTCTCTACATTCTCACCAACACTTGTTATTATAGGTATTTTTTATGAAAATCATCCAGTTGACATATATGTTATCTCATTGTGGTTTTGATTTACATTTGCTCGATGACTAATAATGTTGAGTATCTTTTCATTTACTAATTTTTTTGACTTAATTTATGCTAGTCTGGTATTTACCTTTACTCACCAATAAAATTTCTCCAGATAAGCACTCCATTGACCTTCATAACTGCTTTTGCCAAATCTAGTGGTAGTTCCTTTTGACTCATCTTACGCAATATCCAAGTAGAATTCCACCACTTTAAATACCTTATATTTCTCAAAACCCTTTCTTCTCTATGCTGCTGGTGTCCGTGCTACTTTCTACTGGTGTACATACTACGTTTCTACTTTCATAGTGTTTCTCCTGCCTTATTGTCCATTTCTACTGAGTCTCCCCATTGACTCTGTGGTCTTTATTGACATGACTTTGTTCTTGCAAATCTCTATGAAATTTACCCTCTAGATGATATTAGATACTAACAGTTCAGTGAACTAAAATACTATCTACATACAGGTAACACCACAAATTATATATCCAGCTTGATATAGAAAATATTACAGTTTATAGCCATTTCTAAGGCAGCATAATCCCCTAATTCTATACTTCCTCAATCGGTCTATCTTCCCGCCTCAATTTCCCAATATCTCTAAATTACAGCATAACTAATTATCGGCCTGGTAAAGCCCCAAGTTTAGAAATTCTTTGTGATTCCTCTCTCAATCCTTAACATCCAATTAATTACCAAGACCTGAATACTTACACTCCCCAAATACTTAAGTACCCCTAATCTTCTCCATCTTAGCTCCCACCACCCCAGTCCAGTCAACTCTCACCTAGTCTATTACAACAGAATCCTAATTGATCTTCACATTTACACTCTCTCTCCTCCCACCCAACCCTTCCAATTCATTCTCCAAGTAGTAGTAAAAGTTGTCTTTAAAATAAGAATTCACTCACGTCACTTCCCTCTCCAGATCTTTTAATGACTTCATAATACATCAGAAAAAACAATTTGAACTCCTTGCCATTGCCTAAAAGATTTTGCATGTTTTGTCCCTTCTCCACCTCTCCAAAGTCATATTGCTCACCTAGTCAAAGCTCACATTGAGCCAACACTGTATTTATTTCAATTGCTTGAAGTGGTCAGCTAGGTATTTCTTAAGGCTTTTGAGTGTGCTGTTGTCTACTTCTGTGTCTTTATCTACTAAGCTGTTTTCTTTTTACTCTTCAGGCTCAACGTAAATACCATCTTTTCAGAGAGGCCTGACCACCCCTATATAAATCAGGACTCTGTTTTTCTCTTTGTCTGCACTCTGATTTTTTTCATAGAATTTGCTATAATTTACAGATGATGTAATTTATTTTTAATTTATTTTTTTCCCCTCCCTTGGCATCATCTCCTGGTGAGAATGTAAGTTGTATTATGGTAGGGATTATGTGTTTCCTATTTCTGTTGTCAACACAGAGCTTGGCATTTAGAAGTTTTATTGCATTTATAAGATTTATTTAGAGGTAAGAAGAGAGAGAATTAGGAAGGGAGAGGGAAGGAACGAGGGAAGGTGGGAGGGAGGAAGGAATAGCTGCTACATTTTATCTATTAGGTTAGAATTTTCTTTGTATTCTTTTCTAATGGAGAAGTTTTTCACTTCCCTTTTGTTAGAAAGAAATCCTTCATGCTTGGAGTCCAAAATGAAACTGTAACATCCCATTAAGCAGAAATATGAACCACTCTTTGTGCCACATCATTAACCATCCCTATGGCAACAGTATGTAGTACGTTTCAATTTTACCAATCCATACCTAATACAATGTGGGTTAAGACAGCTAAAACAAAAGAAGTATATCTGCATCTGGAATTGAAAGCACTAAGTTCCAGCCCCAGTTCTGCCATTCATTAGCTCTATAACCTAGGACAAATCGTCTAACCTCTTTCTGTCCAAACAGCTTATCTGAAAATGAAAATAACATGTCTTTCCTATTCACTTTCAAGATTGTGGTAAAAACGAAATGAAGTAATATACAAAAGGCTTTTATAAACTTGAAGTACTATTTTGAATGTTATATAATTTTTGCTGAAATTAGGGTTAATGTCTTTTTTGTTTTACATTTTACTCTCAGTCCAGTTCTATACATATAAGACATGCTTAATGCTATATCAACTCGCATATTTTGTGTTCTTTATTTCAAGTAGCAGTTTCTATCTCTGTTTATCACTGTAATGATAATATCGGCATATAATCGTAATGGAATTCTGTGCTTTCTTCATATAGTACCTGTTAATGCGGGCATATGTCATATTAAAAGTATTCTATAAATTATAAAATATAATTATCAACCTATCAACCATAGAAATTTACGTTGTTAAAATTAAAACAGAAAATGTTTAAATAATAACTAAGAGATCTAAGCAATGAGTTCCCTGTTTAATTAAATACAATTTGGAATTCAAATAAAAAGATACAAGCAAATAGCATATTTCTTTTTAACTTTTATGACAATGATGAGAACTTTGCACTTATTAAACAGACCATTAGGAACCTATACTTATATCAGGGATCCAAGACAACACCATAGTGTTCTCCAAGGTTAACTGAGATTTATGTAATGATCCAGTTAATTTCTTTGACATAACTATCTCAAAGCAAACTTTCATGTTGACATCTGAGCCTTCTAAATGACTTTCTAACTGTATGAAAAATCCAGTCAGGCTACACCCATGTCCCTACTGCCCTTCTTTGTAAACAGGCTGTTTTGGTAAAGTAAAAAGCTACATTCTTTTTAGGCATGATGGTATGGCTTAGACTTCTCAAAACTTGCTTTAAAAATATGTTAATTAATATTCAACATATATATTCAGAAGAGGGTTTTTTGCTACCACACATCGAGTTAAATTATACCCAAATTGCCCATTTGGATATAAATGTTGTTGTCATTTTCATCAAGGGTATATCAGGTAGTTCTCTTTTTCACATACAATTGTAGTAATCCAATTACTAGGATAATGACTTTGCAGGACTGATTGATTGCAAACTGGAACACAGTTTTTCTCTTTGTAAATATAATTGTTTTACTGTAACAGGCTTGAAAGTCTTTTGCATCATGAAAGGATCTCAATTCTCCATTCCATGTGCAAGCAGCACACAGAAGCCTAAAGCAGGCTGAGTCAAAGATTCAGCAGCTACATGGAGTAAAACATAAATTCACTGTGATGTTGTATTAAAGGTGGTTAATATGAAATACTCTTCTATCCTAGGTGCAGTATATAGATTAAGAAATGTAAGAGTTTATAGTCTTCGAATCAGTGTACCTAGAATTTCCTTGCTCCACCACTCATGTTGGGAAAATTAGTAAGTTCTCTATGCTTTCCTTTCCTCTTTTGTAGAAGATGAGTAATGGTAAAAATTACCTCACAAGATGCATGAGCATTAAACATGAGATAATACATGCAAAGTGCCTGGTAGAGAAGTGAGCAAGCACTTAATTTCACCATTGAATCAAATTCTAATTTGTGAATTTCATTCAGTTGCTTCTATGCCACCTTTGAAAAAGCCTGAAAACCAGTCAGTTTTGGTAACCTAATATGCCCCAATTTCTTTACGGGTAGAAGGGATCCAAGATAGATCATAGGCAAAATTGTGGGCTATGACACAATTTTCTTTTGCAATTTTCTCTCTTTTTTTTTGGTTCTATGAACTTCCATCCTGCCAGGTGTCTGCTGAAAGTCATTTCTCCAAAAATAATTTTTGTTGTTTGCCAACATTGGGCAAAACATTGTACCAGAGTTTTAAAAAGAGAATAAAATATGTCCTCTTTTCTCAAGAAATTGACAACGTAATAGGAAAGAAAGGATATTGGTTAAGTTTATGAAACATAAATAGGAATAAATAAATTATAGTGGAAGACAGTAGAGAAGATATCACCATATAAGCATGATTGATATTCAAAGTCCCTTTTCATTTGATCCTTCTGTTAATTTAGATCAAAAGGAATTTGTCTATACTACGTAATCTGAGTTTCCACAAAAATGCCTATTATGACATTTTTTAATTAAAGTGATCTCGTAGACACTTCTTTGGAGTCCCTAAAACTCATGGAGCATTGACTGGAAACCAGTATGGAGAGGAAGCATGGTGTTTCCTCTTATAAGCACTGTCTTACTCAATTCTAGAATGAATGCTTTGCGACCCATTAGGAGACAAAGCTAGATCCCCTCAAGACTAGTGCATGTTTATTAAATAAAAGACAGTGCCTAGACATAGTTGGGTGCTCAAAAAGTGTATATTTAATTAAACACCAGACAAACCTTCTGATAGTTAATTTTATGTGTCAACTTAAATGGGTCACAGGATGCCCAGATGGGTGGTTAAATATTTCTGTGTATAGACGTGAGGGTGGTTCCAGAAGACCCTAGCATTGGACTTGATGGATGAGTAAAGCAGATGCTTCTCCACAAAGTGGATGGTCATCATCCAATCTGTTGAGGGCCTGAAGAGAGCAAGAAGGCACAGGAAGGTTGCATTAACTCTGCCTGATTTATTCAGAGCATCAACCTTCTCCTGCCTTCAGCATTTCTGGTTCCTGGGCCTTCAGACCCAGACAGAAGTCTATATAGTACTGATGGGCTGGCTCTCAGAGATTTGAACTATACCACTGGCTTTCCAGGGTCTCCAGCTTACAGACTGTGGGACTCTCTGCCTCTATTATCCCCAGAGTCAGTACTTTATAATTAAAACACACACACACACACACAGACACACAGACACACACACACACACACACACACACAATCTCCCGTTGGCTCTTTCTCTGGAGATCTCTGATGAATACAAACTCCCTTTGTTGTAATTCCCTGTACTAGCACAAAAGAGAAAGAAAATAGAAATACAATAACTTGATCAGTAAGGCACTTAATAAAATGTGAAATTTTTCTAATTGACTCTGGAGAAATAAAGGCTGGAGAGAAGTTGAGATAGGGGAATTTGTCGTTGGTGAAAAAATGTAGCTGAAGATTTTCAGTTAACAAGTTGGCAATCAACTTTAAGAAAGCCTCTAGTGAGCTCACAGCATTCTGCCCTTTGTCATTTTCTTTTAGTGGTTTATGACCCTCTTACAAATAAAGGAGACACTTAGGAAATGTGTGGCTGATTTCAAACTTGAGATAGGACAATAATTCATGGCGTAGCAGAATAAATATCCAAAACATTCTCAACAGGCTGGACTACAAGTCAGCATTTGTCACATGAAATTGAATAAGAATAGATTTAAAATTATTCATTGCAGTTCTCACTTTGAACTCTATAAATATGGAACTGAAGGAAGACAGTGTCTGTCTTAAAGTAATTAGTGTAAAAAGAACCTAAGGGTTTTGACTGACAGTAAGATTAATATGAAAAGACTGTGATGTGGCTGGCAGAAATGTTAATGGTTTCTTAGATTATATAAATAGAAACTTAGAGTCTAGGTAATGTGTGGCACATCAGAATCTCTTTGGATACTTTCTAAAATGCAGGTTCGTAGGTCCCATCCCACATCTACTGAATTATCCAAGGTCTGGGTGTTGTGCCCTGGAATCTGTCTTTAACAGTCTCCTGAGGTTACTTTGATGCTGAGATCCACCTCAGCGGATTAGTGTGGATAATAATGGAATAAGAAAAATAAAAACACAATGTCCTCACAGAGTATAAATGCTCAATAAACCATAATTTTAAGTATTCTTTAGGGCCATTTTTATTAGTTATATTGACACTTTTGTAAAATTCTTTATCCGGATCTAACTTTCTGTTAATCTTACAAGGGTGGCCTTTCCTGCCTGCCTTCCAGTCTTGTAACTTTCCTAAATGTGTCCTTTCTGCTTTCAACATATGCTAATTAGGACCTATTCTGTGTAAGATATTATCCTTGGCCATGCAGAGATTTTTTAGATGCCCTCAGTCAATATATCCACCAAGTATGGGAGTTTTGACCTGTATATAATTAACTATAAGAGAACTGAAGTGCCCTAGGGCCTGAGCAAACTTTCTGGAATTGCCTGTACCCTAGCAGTGCTGTGAAAATACACGATGCAGTAAGATGCAGCACAGAAATAAGCATTCATCTTCTGCTTTCTCTTAACAGAGGGCACTTTCTTCAACTAGGAGACCTTTGCCAGAGCATGTGAAGACCTTCTTGGCAAACACCAGCCATGCTCACTTCTCACCATCCCCCAGTGCCACCTACTCTCTGCTCAACACTCTCCATGCCCCTCCCAGAGCCATTGATCCCGTTCCACCAGAAGATCACATCTTAGAAATGCCCCAGACATCGTTGGACATTTCTTCATGCTTCATGAGCTTCAAAATCTTTTAAAAATTTAATGCGCTTATGAATCTCTAACAAGCTCCTAAATAACTTGTATGCTATTGTTAAAAAACTCCAAATATTAATAAGTATTAGTAAAATGTTGCTGTTAATAGTAAATCAGCTAAGCGTCAAAATGCTACCTGGAAAAGCAAGCAGAATAGACATTCCAATGTTAAAGGGCATCAAGAGCAAGACTCTTAAAGAGCCTATGAAATCATTTAAGTGTGAGATAAAAAGGTTGGGAATTTCATACATATTTAGCATTGCCTGAGAAATGTCTCTAAGTTTTTCTTTTTTCACTCTAGAATATTACCAAAGTTGCAGTTAATTACATTTCTGCTGCTACAAAAACATTTTTTCATGCCTCAGTGATTCATGAATCTTCCATTGTGTGTATTAGGCAGCAGCTCTTGTAGACAATGACAGAGAATAAAATGCTTCCAGAGGAAACACGATTCAGGTGTCTGTTTTTGGGTTATGCGGTGTCAGATTGGTCCCATTGTGCTTCAGAGAGCATTTGTTATTTTGTGATATGGCTACAGACAGGTTTAAGATCCAGATCATCATCTTACTTCAAAGAGTGTGAATAAATGATTCAAGAAAGAAAAATAAGAATGGAGTATTTGGATAACAATATATTCTCAATTTAAAACGGTTTATGAAGGGAACAAACATACCATGCAAATGAGAAGCAGTTTTAGAAGGGGAAGTGTTGTGCTTCATCACAACTAATTATTACTTGAATATTTATTAGTAGTATGAGAAACTAAATGTCTATGGCCATACCACCCTGAACGTGCCGGATCTCATCTGAAAAGGAAAAAATAGCTTCTACTTTCAATGGTGAGATATAAACAAAAGTTCTCTTTCATTACGCTTAACAAAAAATGTGCATCTTTAAATTTTTTTTTTTTTTTTTGAGATGGAGTCATGCCCTGTCACCCAGGCTGGAGTGTAGTGGCCCGATCTCAGCTCACTGCAAGCTCTGCCTCCCAGGTTCATGTGATTCTCCTGCCTCAACCTCCCCAGTAGCTGGGACTACAAATGCACACCACCATGCCCTGTTAATTTTTTTTTCTTTGTATTTTTAGTAGAGACAGGGTTTCACCATGTTGGCCAGGCTGGTCTTGAACTCCTGACCTCAGGTAATCCACCCACCTCGGCCTCCCAAAGTGTTGGGATTACAGATGTGAGCCACCATGCCCAGCCTGAAATATTTTGTTTCGATAAAAAATATAAATGTATTTTGAGTAAAAGACCACCATGACAAAAGGAAGTCATGGACTTGACTAAGAAAGACCAAATGAGCAAACTGTGTGCTCTAGATATCATCTATCCCTGAGAGTATCAGAAATAAAATCATAATGATGGCACCATGGCTTCAAATAATGGACTAGTAATGTTTCCAACTCAGGATAATAAATGCTCCATTCAGAATTATCTTTTAAAACTCAGCCAGTAGTAATCACTGCACATACTTTGTTACATACTACTTATAAAAAGATGGTGCCTTTTTATCTCTGAATCTCAGGAATATTGCCCAGTTCCCAGTACCTCGACAGTTTTTAATAAATATTTGTCTCATAGTGCATGATTGCAGAATGTCTGAAATTCTAAGAGTTACAGAAAAATACAAATGACATAGGGAAGAGGTTGGTAAACTTTTTCTGTAAAGAGATAGTAAATATTTCAGGCTTTGTAGGTCGTATAACCTCTCATACACAATTATGTCATTGTAGAGAAATCAGCCATAAACAAGTAAATGAATGGGTGTGACTGTAGTCCAATAGAAATTTCTTTACAAAATCAAGATGTAAATGGTAGGTTGTAGTTTACTGACCCTAAATAGAACAAACTTGGTCATTGTCCTCAGGAAGGTGTGGTAAGTGAAGGAAATAGGAAAACAAATATCAAAAACTCTGGAAAGGGTTTTTTCTCCAACTAGGATGGAGTAGGTGGAATTCAGCTCATAGTCCTACTGAATGAAAGTCCATAGTTTACATTACGGTTTACTCTGTTGTACATTCTGTGGGTTTTGATAAATGCATAATGTGTATCCATCATTGTGCTATCATATAGAATAGTTTAACTACCCTAAAAATTCCCTGTGTTTCATCCACCTAGTTTTTGTTTCCCATTTGCATGATAGATCTTTCTAGAACCCTTTACTTTTTGTGGGTGTCATTACATGTGAGATGGGACTCGAACACCACAGAAGGATGGCTTTTTTTTTTTTTAAATCCAATTGGCTATTTTATACCTTTTAAGTATAGGATTTAGGCCATTTATATTCAAGGCTAATGTTGAATTAGCCACCAATCACCATAAGCTAAGTGAGAGAGTTCTCTCTGTTAGTCCATTCTCATATGGCTATAAAGAAGTACATGAGCCTGGGGCCGGGCGCAGCGGCTCACGCCTGTAATCCCAGCACTTTGGGAGGCCGAGACAGGTGGATCATGAGGTCAGGAGATCGAGACCATCCTGGCTAACACAGTGAAACCCCGTCTCTACTAAAAATACAAAAAAATAGCTGGGCGTGGTGGCGGGTGCCTGTAGTCCCAGCTACTTGGGAAGCTGAGGCAGGAGAATGGCATGAGCCCGGGAGGTGGAGGTTGCAGTAAGCTGAGATTGTGCCACTGCACTCCAGGCTGGGTGACAGAGCGAGACTCGTCTCAAAAAAAAAAAAAAAAAAACTACACGAGATACGGTAATTTGTGAAGAAAAGAGGTTTAATTAACTCACAGTTCTGTAGGCTATACAGGAAGCACGGCTGGGAGGTTTTTTCTCCAACTAGGATGAAAAGGGTTTTTTTCTCCAACTAGGATGGAGTAGGTGGTATTCAGCTCATAGTCCTACTGAAAGAAACTGAAAGCTGTATTGAGAAACAAGAACAAACCCCCCTGCTGTTTGAAAAGACTGGAAAGCAGCAAGTGCAGCCAGCACTTGGGGTACAAAACCCAGAGTGGGGGAAATTCATCCAGGTCAGCTGTAGGTTCCTATTAGTCTCTCCTTGTGGTGTTAGACAACTAAACAGTAGGCAATGTCCTAAGACAAGGCTACCAAAGTGTGGTGCAAAGGGCCTCTGTAAACTGTTTACACCAATATGTATTATTGAGATAATTATGACATGTGACAAATTTAGAAATATTTATAATAATTTAACAGAGCAATTTTGGGTGCATTTTATCTAGTAATTTTAAAAGCAAGCATATTTTTATGTCCTTTATGTCTTTTATTTAGTAAATCTTTTCAGTAATTCATACTTGCTGTATTTTATGGAAGTGCTATGTAAGGACAAACAAGGCTTTTTTTAAATTTTTTTTAATTTTTTTATTTAATTTTTTTTTTTTGAGACGGAGTCTTGCTGTGTTGCCCAGGATGGAGTGCAGTGGCACAGTCTCGGCTCACTGCAACCTCTGCCTCCCGGGTTCACGCCATTCTCTTGCCTCAGCCTCCCCAGTAGCTGGGACCATAGGTGCCCACCACCACACCCGGCTAATTTTTTGTATTTTTAGTAGAGACGGGATTTCACCATGTTAGCCAGGATGGTCTCGATTTTCTGATCTCGTGATCTGCCCGCCTCGGCCTCCCAAAGTGCTGGGATTACAGGCATGAGCCACAGCGCCCGACCACAAGACATTTTTTACTAGTAAAATTTGAGATGAACCAGCCTAGACTGTACAGCGATCTTAATGGAGAAAGGAAACAAAGTGGAGCTCAGAGCCACAAGGAAACCAGGATGGGAGGGTCCAGGGTCCCAGAGAACTAAAAGAACTAAGTCCAGTATTCTGTATAAAATGTACCCTTAAATTTGCCAGACCCTCAACTGCAAAAACCCGGAGTGAGAGGCTGAGAAACCAAGCAGAAAACGACAGCTTAGAAACCAAAAATGCAAAAAAGGAAACTGGCATTTTCACATTGGAGATAAAAGTCAGAGCTCTAGACCTGACAAGGAGGAGAAGATCCTGGTAAGCACTGCAAACTTTCATTAGAGACCCAAAGAATAAAGGCAAACAGGAAACATAGAGAAACAGCCGACAAGAGAACAGGAAGTGAGCCAAATCTCCCGCACAATTCACTTTCAGAACCCTTCCTGCAAGGGAAGCTGGGAAGTGTGGACTTTATCTTGCTAACCTCTCCTACTAGAAGGAAGTAGTAGGACAATAAGAACAATAAAAAGCATCGATAAAAAGAACAATAAAAAGCATCAATAAAAGTAGTTTGCATTTTAAAAAGTTAAACAAAGTCGATAAAACTTCAGTGACAGAAACTGAGAAAAAAAGAAGGAAATCCAAATAAGTAAAATCAGACATAAAAAAAGAGACATTACGACTGATACTGCAGATATTCAATAGCTCATTAGCAGCTACTATGAGCAACTACTTGCCAGTACACTGGAAAATCTCAAGGAAATTGTTATATTCTTAGACATGTACAACCTACACAGCCAGATCTTGTGAGAACTCACTCATGAGACAGCACTAGGGGAATGGTGCTAAACTATTAGAAGCCACCCCCATGATCCAATCACCTCCCACCAGGTCCCACCTCCAACACTTGGGCTCACAATTCAGCATGAGATTTAGGTGGGGACGCAGAGCTAAACCACATCACTCCCTTAGAAGTCTCAGAAGGAATCAACTCTGATGACACTTTGATCTTGAACTTCTAGCTCTCAGAACTGTGAGACAATAAATTTCTCCTGTTTAAGTCACTCAGTTGTGGTACTTTGTTATGACAGCTCTAGCAAACTACTATAGTGGGAGCAAACAAAAACTACTATAGTGGGAGTGAATAAAGTCATTTTCCTTTCTAATATTTTGTTCCTGGAACTCTATACTATGGTTAAGGGAGGAACAACATCATATATTGGCTGCTGGTTTAGTACATTTACTGCAGCTTCTACAACCATACTTGACTCTCATGATACATTTTCTCCCATATGATGTTGATTACTTAGTAGATCATTCCTCCATATTATATGAGTAACTGCTTCTGGAGGACGGCATGCATATTAAGATCAGTGAGTCACATAGACATGACTCTCTTGCCTCTTGAACTCCTTGGTCTGAGGTAATATTGCATGGAATATTGTGATGGTGAATAAGCATTTAATGACTCTACAAATGACGGTTCTGAACAGAGCATTATAGGAATAGATAGAGGCCAATCTATGTGAAAAATAATTGTTTGGCCTAAAGAGGGGGAAAAGGTTTCCATGTAATCAATTTTCTGTTAGGTGAATGGCTGTTGCCCTGGAGTATCACACCTTTTTAGGGTCTCAATATTGGTCTGTATATTGGAGACTGAAAAGTCAGCAGTTGTGTTAACCAGACCAACCTCGGTTAAGCAGATAGTGGAACTCATATGGCACCACCACACCTGCCAATATGTCCCTCTAAGAAAACACTGGCATGACTGGGGAAAGAAGCTCACTGACATACAGAGAGTAGTGCACCTATTCTGAGTACTGAGTACTAAGTATCTTCAGAGTGTACATTAGAGACAAAAATTCTAACAACACAAATTGCTTTGACTCTGCTGTCATTCTGAGAAGCCTATTTACATGCCACTTCCCCAGACCTTGTTGTCAGTAACCTTGTTTCTTCCAAACATCCAACCATCTTGCCAAGCCATCAGCTTCTAATTAATTGCTATAGATCTACGTATCTAGATATTTTTCTTTCCCAGAAATAAAAGGAAAAACAAAATGAACTTCTTGTAGGTTTCCTCAATGGGAGGACTATTTTCTCCACTGAACTTTAGGGCCACCCCTAAGTCTGACAATATTGTTTTAGAACTCCATTTCCAGGTGGAATAGGATATTTTGTTAAATCATGTTTTTCAGGATTTAATTTTTTCTTCCTCAGTCTACAGTCCTAGTAAATGCCTCAGTGGCATAGGTGTGGGTGGAGGAAGAAGTGGCAATATATCCAGAGTCAATACTGCGAGTCATTAGCTCGTGCAACTTGTTTATTCCTCCAGAACCCACTAGAGCTCACTCACTTATTTTAGCTGTTCTACTTGATAATGGAGGGCTTATGAACACACCAAAATTGACAGCTTGGGGAATCGGATAACAATCATCCCATAATAAGCATCTTAGGTCACATGGCCACTTGATGCACCTAATTAGTGGTACGTCTTGTGCATCCAGAAAACTAGCTCAAGAGAGTCTAGGAAATGTCATTTAGGCCTTTGAAGCTTGGCAGCAAGAAGGAAGGTTGAATGTTATACTGATGTTCTGTTTGACATATGTTGTCTTTAGGTTTGTACTTCTGCAATTCTACCTTACAAACTATTGTCAGAGTAAACTATTTAAAGTACAAGTATGACCACACCATTCATGGTTCCCTATAAGTTACAAACAAAAGTTCTATAGCATGGCATACTGTTTTTAAATGGCATGAACCCAGGATCCCTCTCTAGTCTCATCTATTACTGCAAACACTCTTTACATTCCAGATAAAACAACTCAGACTTATTTAGGGCTTACAGTATATTGGGCATTATTCTAAATTGTTTGCATATATTACATTGTTTAATGTTTAGAACATTTTGAGATGGTGCAATGGTCAATTTTATGTGTCAAGTTAGCTGGGCCATGGTGTCAAATATGATTCTGGACGTTTCTGTGAGTGTGTTTCCTTGGATGAGATTAACATTGAAATTGATGGGCTTTGAGTAAAGCAGATGGCCTTTGGTCTTGAATTCCAACATCAGCTCTTCCCTTAATCCTTAGACTGCTGGCCTATCCTACAGAATTTGGACTTAGCCTCCATAACTGCATGAGCCATTTCCTTTAAATACATCTCTCTATATTCACATTATCTTGCTTCTGTTTCTTTAAGAATGCTGACCAATATAGGCAGATAATAATGTTAGTATTCCCATTTTTTAACATGGGAAGATTTAACCTCAGGGTTACCAAGCTAGTAAATATTAGGCCTGCTATGGATATATAAACAGTCTGGTTCCAGAGTCCATGCACTTAATTATCATCATCTGCTGACTGTCATTATAAAATAGTGTTGAGTTCCAGTTTCCTGTACACGTCATGTAAACTCAAGTTTTCATGCCATTCATCATGCTGCTCCTTCTTCCTGAAAGACACTCCTACTCATCCTGCAATATCCACCTTAGTCTTTATTTCTTCCAGGCATAAATCACTGCTCTCTGCATCACTCACGATGGGGCTAAGTGCCCCATATAGAGCTTAGACAGTGGTTAACACCTAAACAAAAAAAAAGCTCAAGAAATGATTTTTGAGTTGAATTAGATTTGTGATAAATTATCCATGAAGTTAGTAATTTAGTAAAATATAATGATTTACCTTACTTATTATATTTTGACAGCTAGATTTTATTTTATATATTTGAAAGGTAGTTAACCACATGGCAAGAATGCTGCTAAGACATTAAGACCATCATCCTTATAGGAAATACTGCACAAGAGACTAGATACTCACTTTAACTAAAACCTAAAATCATTTCTGAACTTTAAATTATTGTTAACATATGTGTAAGCAACTAAGACTAATTAAATATATCTAAGATTAAAAATATTTTTATATACTTCTAATAAGTTTCTTTATATTTTATCAAAAGTGAGAGTTCAAAAATATAGTAGACTTTTCAAACATGACCATCAGATAGTGGAGCTAAGTTCCCAGAAGGCAGAAGTGAAAATTGGAGAGAAAATGAATGAATGGGTTGCTCTCAGAAAGCATAAACAGTCACATACCCCACTCCTGGAGTAGGGAGTCAGGTGCATGTTTCCAGACGGATTTCAGAATTAGTAAAGACCACTGACTATCTACTTCTCACAACTCTCTTTGTACAGTGAGCATTGGGAAGTTGGGGGGAAAGATAAATGTATTTTATTTATAGATGTAGACGAATAGCTATACCTGAGGAGCTTTATTACATTAAGATCTGATTAAGATCACAAGGATTTGGAAGGTGAGACTTATACTAAAATTGAAATAAGACTTTAGTGGAAAACTATGGTACATCTGACATGATAGAAAGATGTGAATTATTGTAGTAAGAGGGTAGACTCTGGAAAATTGCTTTCAAATGAGCATAACAATTTTTCCCATCCCTGTATACAAACCCTTTGCCATGTGACTTTGTCATATCTTCCATTCAGAGGTGGAGTCTATTTCCCCACTCCTTTAAATATGGGATGGTCTTATGACTTGCATTAACCATTAGAATGTAGTGGAGTGATGTGTGTGCAACTCTTAAGGCTAGTCCTTAAGAGGCCTCATTGATTCCACTTTCACTGTTCTGGAATCCTGACTCTTCTGTGCTTTCTTGCCTACTGGAGGATGACAGCATCACCAGGCTGTCTCAATTGGCAGTGGGCACCAATGCCCGACCATGTGAGTGACATCATTTTGGACACTGAACCCTAGGCAAGTCATTAGATGACAGGGAGTGCATGAATATTCCCAGGAGATAGCAGCAGATGAATTGCCCAATCTACTGCCCTCTTCTACCTCCCAAATTGTGAGAGATAATAGATCATTGCTGTTTCAAGTCCACAGGGACTTGAAACAGCAATGATATGTTATTATTTCGGATTGTCACGTGATATTAGAAAATTGAAAAAAAAAAGAATGTTTACCTAAATTTAAAAAATAAGTGGATAAATTTGTCATACCTCTGGGTGATTTGATACAATTAAGAACTACTGGCCTGGTATGGTAGCTCAGGCCTGTAATCCCAGCACTTTGGGAGGCTAAGGCAGGTGGATCACCTGCAGTCAGGAGTTCAAGACCAGCCTGATCAACATGGTGAAATCCCATCTCTACAAAAAATACAAGAATTAGCTGAGTGGGGTGGCACGCACCTGTAATCCTAGTTACTCAGGAGGCCAAGGCAGGAGAATCGCTTGAACCCAGGAGGCTGAGGTTGCAGTAAACTGAGATCATGCCATTGCACTCCAGCTTGGACAACAAGAGTGAAACTTCATCAAGAAATAAAAATAAGTAAATAAATAAGCTACTGGTGACCATTTCGCACCAATATTTAGTAACTGGACAAATGAAGTACTCAGTAAATATCTGTTAAATAAGTAAATCAATGTAGGAAATTTTAGTTTTTAAATAATCAACTTAAATTTCATTAGTAAGAATTTTATTTATTAGAATCATATTAATGCTTATTTCTTCTAATTAAGCATCACAGTATATCAATTTATTATTTTATGTGTTTTTCTTGAATTTTTTTTCACTTCTCGGTGAGCCAAAATGCAAAAGTGACAGTGAAAAAGGGGATAAAAGCTAATAAAGGTTATAATCATAGTTTTAATGACATAATGAGTTAATAGGTAATAAAATATCTCAGAGATTTTTTATAAGCCCCAAATGTCTTTTCACCTAAATGAGAGGATTATAAATAAATACTGGGGAGCTGGTTTGTTGCAGTATAATTAGCATGGGATTTAAAATAAAGACCTGATTCAACTTTTAGTGGGGCTGGTGATAAACATCTCAATGGATTGTTGCATATTGTAAACACCAAAGTGCTCTAAAATGCTGTTTTATCGATTCTTACTGTAGAAAGCTCTTTGATTAAATTATGACATTTAGCATTTTACCTAAGGTGGCTTAATTTAATGGGAAAAAATATAGCCCTTATGACATTTAATGTGGATTGGCACACACACATACCCACTCTCTAACCCCCTTCTGGATTGTGTTTCTCAACTCATGAGCCTGGAAAGCTAAAAGCTATCCTTCTTAGAGTTTTTTTCAGCTGGGTATGGCTACATAATTCAGTTCTGTACAATGAATGACACACAAGCACAAGTATAGAAGTGCCATCTTCCTTCCTGTCTAGAATGCGGATGTGATGGTAGGATCTGCAATAGTTACCATGGATCTATGGGAGAAAGTGAAAAGGAGTGAAGAGGGTTCCGTTCTTAACCTGTTCTCCTACCACTGAATTTACTGTTGTATGAGAAAAAGAATGTCTCTAAATCTTTTAATTCACAAATTAATTGGGCTCTCCCTTGCAGCTGAATGCAATCCCTAACTGAGACATTCTTTGGTGTGGAATGGATAAAATTTCATTTTATCACTCACCAGTTGTGTGACATGATCAAAAACAACTTGTGGGACAGGGACTGGTGAGGGAGGTATCCACCTGAGGGTGTGATCCAAGGACTAATGTGTTAAGCACCTAACAGTCTTTCTGGCATATAGTAGGCCATGGATAGTGAAAATAACACACAGGTTATTTCCCTTCTCTTGTAGCTAGAAGTTGTTTGTTAATATATTATATAATTATTTACCCATGAACGTACAAATTATTTTAAAGACAACTCCTCAGGCAATTCCTCATAGTCACAACACAAAATAAAACCTGTTGATCATATTAGGCACTAAACAAATGCCAACACTCTCTCCTTTCTGCTGTGTGCATAAGAACACCTCCTAGAAAAATGAACTGAAAAATTTTTTTAATTATTAATTACAATTTGAAACTGAAAGAAAGTTTGACACTGAAAGCATTATTTAAATATTATCAGTTTAAAATGTACTATAACTACTGGAAATGTGTATTCATGTTCAATAATTTTATTTTGAAATAAATATAGCAATTACTATTCCATATAACAATGACTATGAAATAAATATGTCAATAACCATAATGCTGAATAGTTTTTGAATACTTACATTGTATCACATTTTGAATATTTAGCTGCTTTCCATCAAGAAATAACATAAGTCAAAGAAAATTCTTACCATAAAACTGGCTTGTAAAAATATATATTTTCTTTTTTCTTTTATAAGAAAAATTCCAAATAACATGAACACTGAAATCCTTTTAAATACGTTATATTACAGTATTTTATTTATTTATTTTTATTTATTTTATTTTTTAAATTTTATTATTATTATACTTTAAGTTTTAGGGTACATGTGCACAATGTGCAGGTTAGTTACATATGTATACATGTGCCATGCTGGTGTGCTGCACCCATTAACTCGTCATTTAGCATTAGGTATATCTCTTAATGCTATCCCTCCCCCCTCCCCCCTCCCCCTACACCACCATCATGCTGATACCAAAGCCTGGCAGAGACACAACCAAAAAAGAGAATTTTAGACCAATATCCTTGATGAACATTGATGCAAAAATCCTCAGTAAAATACTGGCAAACCGAATCCAGCAGCACATCAAAAAGCTTATCCACCATGATCAAGTGGGCTTCATCCCTGGGATGCAAGGCTGGTTCAATATATGCAAATCAATAAATGTGATCCAGCATATAAACAGAATCAAAGACAAAAACCACATGATTATCTCAAAAAAACCACATGATTATCTCAATAGATGCAGAAAAGGCCTTTGACAAAATTCAACAACCCTTCATGCTAAAAACTCTCAATAAATTAGGTATTGATGGGACATATCTCAAAATAATAAGAGCTATCTATGACAAACCCACAGCCAATATCATACTGAATGGGCAAAAACTGGAAGCATTCCCTTTGAAAACTGGCATAAGACAGGGATGCCCTCTCTCACCACTCCTATTCAACATAGTGTTGGAAGTTCTGGCCAGGGCAATCAGGAAGGAGAAGGAAATAAAGGGTATTCAATTAGGAAAAGAGGAAGTCAAATTGTCCCTGTTTGCAGATGACATGATTGTGTATCTAGAAAACCCCATCGTCTCAGCCCAAAATCTCCTTAAGTTGATAAGCAACTTCAGCAAAGTCTCAGGATACAAAATCAATGTACAAAAATCACAAGCATTCTTATACACCAATAACAGACAAACAGAGAGCCAAATCATCAGTGAACTCCCATTCACAATTGCTTCAAAGAGAATAAAATACCTAGGAATCCAACTTACAAGGGATGTGAAGGACCTTTTCAAGGAGAACTACAAACCACTGCTCAAGGAAATAAAAGAGGATACAAACAAATGGAAGAACATACAATGCTCATGGGTAGGAAGAATCAATATCGTGAAAATGGCCATACTGCCCAAGGTAATTTATAGATTCAATGCCATCCCCATCAAGCTACCACTGACTTTCTTTACAGAATTGGAAAAAACTACTTTAAAGTTCATATGGCACCAAAAATGAGCCCGCATCACCAAGTCAATCCTAAGCCAAAAGAACAAAGCTGGAGGCATCATGCTACCTGACTTCAAACTATACTACAAGGCTACAGTAACCAAAACAGCATGGTACTGTTACCAAAACAGAGATATAGATCAATGGAACAGAACAGAGCCCTCAGAAACTGGATCCCTTCCTTACACCTTATACAAAAATTAATTCAAGATGGATTAAAGACTTAAACGTTAAACCTAAAACCATAAAAACCCTAGAAGAAAACCTAGGCACTACCATTCAGGACATAGGCATGGGCAAGGACTTCATGTCTAAAACACCAAAAGCAATGGCAACAAAAGCCAAAATTGACAAATGGTATCTAATTAAACTAAAGAACTTCTGCACAGCAAAAGAAACTACCATCAGAGTGAATAGGCAACCTACAAAATGGGAGAAAATTTTCGCAATATTATAGTATTTTAAAAAACACAAATATCTTACAGTATTTTAAAAATATGTTATCTTACAGTATTTAAAAAACTAGAATTACACATTCTAATTTTGGGAGTGAGAGTGGATGAGACAGAAAAAAAAGAAAAATGACTTGAATGTCTTTGGGGTTAGAATTGGTTAATCTTTATGTAAGTAACTGAAAATAGTATTTCCTTCTTCTGAATTTGGTTATGGTCAATTAGGTATTCTAGACCAAACCTCCTGCTGAAAAATACTATACATACAGGATAAAAAATAGTTTTTAAAATTTTGAAAATATGAAACAGTAAGGAATTACTAGGACAACGTATCAAGAGGAAAATAGGGAGGTAACTAGTACAGCAGCAACGTCTACCCTGAGAGAATGTGACAATTTTGTCAAACTTAACATTTTACTTGATAGCCTTATGGAGTGAGCAAGAGAACCATATCGAAGCCCAAAGCATACCTAATGTAGAAAGTCTAGTAAAAGACTTAATCCCCAAATAAACTGGAATCCGAAAGGGCTAATCTCTCAAAATAAATATGAACCACACCTAACAGAGCTGTTCCAGACCGTGAGCAATGAAGGCTTGCACTTCCTCGGTGGTCCAAGGAACCTCAGCATGGAATTTTATTTAAGGTTGTCCCTAACTAGTTGTGCCCTAGAGCCTGGCAATAACAAATGAAAATCCTCTTTGGAAGAACGTACCCTTACCCTAAATCTTAAAATATCAAGCTCATTTTTTTTCTAAGTTCACTTGTCAGCACAAATAAGGTACCATATGACATAATAAGCCAAAATAATAAATGAACAAAAAATAGAAGTACAAATACATCATATATTTGAATACACAATAGATTATAAAATCTTTGCTTACTATGCTTAAAAAATAAAATTGATAAACTTGAAAATATTAGTAAAAAATATGAAGCTATAAAAGATGACAGAATAGATTTGAAGAAGAAACAGACTAAGAATAAAAAAATAGCTGAAATTTAAAAGTCAGTGCATAATGAGGGGGGTAGGAGTCCATCAGTAAAACAATATTGGCCATATATAAATAATGATTGAATGTGAATTACAATCATATCAGAATCATTTTATGATTCTTTTCTTTTTTCCTTGTGTATATATTTAAACATTTCCATTGTTAATATTTTTTAAAAACCCTCCATTCATGAAATTAACAGCAAATTAGAGACAGCTGCAGAGAAAGTTAATGAACTGGACATTATCCGGAGTGCAGCATAAAGAATTAAAAAGAACATAAATAAGTAAATAAATAAAGTGAAGTTAAAAGACAGAGGATAGAGAGAAAAGGTCTACCATATTTTAAATCAGAAATCCAGCAAGAAAGGAGAAAAAGAATGAGTCAGAGGCAATAATTGAAGAAATAATGGGTGAGAATTTTCAGAACTGTTAGAAGTGACCAATTCACAATGCAAGGAACTTAGCAGATTTCAAGCAAGATAAATTAAAAATTCACACATTATAGTAAAACTGCAGAAAATCAAACATAAAGAAAACAATTTTAAAAGTAGCTGGGGAGAAAAGACACATTACAAGGAACAACAGTAGAACTGTTAGCTTACTTCTCAGTAACTACAATGACATTGTAGCTTTAAAGTGGTGAGAAAGATAATTTATGATGTATAATTATATACCCAGTAAACTTGTTTTTTTTTTAAAAAAAAGACAAAATAAGGAAGGTTTCAAAGAACAAAAACTTATGAAAAATTATCATCAGTCAAATATGAACCACACCTAATAGAGCTGCCCTGTTATTATTAAAAGAAATTGCAAAGGATATATTCCAGGCAGAAACAAAATTATTTCAGATGGAGGGTCAAAAGGTGCAAAAAACAATAGTTTTGACAAGTTAATTAAGAATGTTACAATTTCTAGTAAAACGATTAAAAGGATGAAACCAGATATGAAAAATAGAATGCAGGAAATGAGAGAGCTGATTTAAAACCGAAAAAGAACAATAATTATACTAAGAGGAATGGAACTGGTCTAATTAAAAGGCACAGATTTTCACGCTGAATGAGAGGGGAAAATGTCTGTATGCAGTTTATAAAAGACACACCTAAAACCTGTGACTGTGGAAAAATTTAAAATAAAGTGTCAGGAGAAGATATCATACAAATAATACTGGGTATTAGGAAGGTTGATTTTCCTACCTCAGACCACATGATCTAAAGGCCAGATGGTTAAGATTATTAAGATTACTTTATGATAATAATAAAATGTATTAAGAAGAATAAACATTTTAAATCTGCATGCACTTATTAACATGACCTTAAATATATGAACCATAAAAATGACACAGCTAAAAGAAGAAATAAGCAAACCCGAGTCATAGGGGAAAATCATAACCTAACTTATCAGTAATGGATAGAAGAAACAGACAAAGTTGTTAGTAAGAATTTGTAAGATTTTAATAATACAATTAACAAATTTAACCAAACGGACATACTGAACTATAAAACACTGTCTGTTATAAGTACATAATACACTTTCATCCCCCAAGCAATCCTGGAACATTTACAAAAATTAACCATATACTAGGCCTTAAGGATAAGTGTCAAAATTTTTAAATAACTAAAATAATAGAGCATATGTCTTCTTATTTCACTAAATTACTAGAAATAAGAAACAAACTGAAAAATCCCTATATGCTTCGAAAAAATTCAAGCCAGGGGCCAAAGCAGTCACAGAGTAAATCAGAAAAATATTTGGAAATACAATATATCAAAATGTGTGGGAAGCAGCTAAAGCAGCAGACAGAGCAAGAAGAAAGGCTGGAAATCTGGGTCGAGACACTTAAAAAAGAAGAGTAAAATAAGCCCAAAGAAAACATAGACACTATATTAATAAAATGGAAAACCGGCATATATTACACAGGATGAACAAAGATAAAAGCAAATTTTTAAAGACCATATAATTGGTAACTCTCTGGAAAGAATGGTCAAGTAAGGAAAAAAATGAGAAGGCACAAATGATCCATATCAAGAATAAAAGGAGAAAAATTACGAAAGATGCTGAAGACATGCAAATTAACAAAACATTAGGAATGGCAGCTGCAGTGTATTGAGAGATAGCGAGCTGAGAAGAAATTCAAACAGAAACTTCTTTTCTGTAACACACATTCATCTTGTTTGATCCCCAGAGTGTAATATGAAAATCCATGAACACCACCTATGTGAATATCATCATGTATGCTTTAGTAGCTGGAAAGCACAAAATAAAGTACCTTAAACAACAGGATTCTAGGTGACTTCTCTAGCAGGTAAAGGCACCAGATTGTCTTCTTAAAACCATCAAGATAGCTCAGCAGCCTGAGGTTTCAGTGTACATTACAGCAGGAGCCAAATTGAATATCATAAACCAAGGGAAAGAATGAGGCTTTTGGAGACTGGAAGACCTTGACTCTTAAAAGCAATGGAACTTTGGGGAAAGTTGCTTCATCTCCCTGAGTCTCTATTTCTCATCTGTCAGTATGAGTGATGTATTACCTAGTCACAAGGTTATTAAAAAGATAACATGCGATGATTCAGTAAAACATAGATTCTAGCAGATATTGGGTTTCAATAAATATGACCTACATATGTTTTATCAATATTTGACAACAGTTATACATGTATCTATAATTACAGTATGGAAAATGAATATAAGAAAGCAAGGGAGGATATAGTGTTTCTTAAAAAGATATCCATTGCTCCAAGAAAACAACAGAAAACAAACCACATATCACTATGAAACTCTCTGTTGTAATAGCTTGTTTGAAATGCGCTAAAGTCTAAGAATTCTATTCTAACTGCCCTTAATAAATGACACCTTGTGAAACTGGGTGCTGTGAAATTACACACAATGCAGAAATGAAATGAGATACTATCCTGGCTTTTAAAAAATAAAATTTGGCAAGTTGGGAGGCCAAGGCGGGCGGATCACGAGGTCAGGAAATCGAGACCATCCTGGCTAACGCGGTGAAACCCCATCTCTACTAAAAATACAAAAATTAGCCGGGCGTGGCGGGGGGCGCCTGCAGTCCCAGATACTCGGGAGGCTGAGGCAGAATGGCGTGAACCTGGGAGGCGGAGCTTGCAGTGAGCCGAGATTGCACCACTAAACTCCAGCCTGGGCGACGGAGCGAGACTCCGTCTCAAAAAATAAAGTAAAATAAAATAAAATAAAAAATAAAATAAAATTTGGATGACTCTTTTAAATAGGAACGTGGTTTAAAGATCTTGTAATTTATCATAAACATTCTGGTTTAGATCTGTTAGAGAGGTTTGAAAGGAGAAACAATTGATGTTAAATGTAAGGGGAGCTGTACCTAAGGAAAGGAGGCCCTGCCCCCGGCCCCTCTCTTCTGCAGGTGTTTGGTTCTTTTAAGTTTATTCACCTCTCAATTTGCCTTTACCTACATAAATAATGCTATACAATGCTATATAATAATCTCTTGCATGTTCTTTTCCTTAGAACATTTGCCCATACAAATTTCCTTAAATGTGTGTACCTTGGCATCTGCTTATTTGACTGATTCCCCAACTCAAGAGAAGAGAACACAAGTATTCCTTTGTACTAGGATTGTAAACCAGATCCATCTTGGGCTTTTTTTTTTTTCCTGTGTTCATGGGGATTTCCATATGTAATAAGAACCCTAGAGTTCACCTAAAGAAGAAATTGTTCCCAGGTGGGATCCCCAAAGCAACCTCTTCCTAAGGGGCCTGGACGACATTGGCAGGTGAGCCACATAAGAGCCAGCCTCTCCTGAAGAAGATATTCAGTTGTTTTGTCATGACATGGATTAGTCTGATGATTGGTGAGGGGAAGCGATGAAGTGGAAGGACATTGCAAAAACGCTGCTGTGGAAGAAAGTAGGTTTTAAATAGGGTGGATATATAATTTACCAGATTGGGATATGTTGAGGATAAAGAAGAGGCTATTCATAATTGTGCTGGGAAAACAGGTGTAAACCAGTACTATCCATGGTAAAATAGGACATATGGTCATCTCATTTTTAACTTTTGAAAATATCTATCAAAATATAGGTCTTGAGCTAAAATTAAAATAGCACAGTGCCTCTTCCTAACCATATTTATTTAATGAGATGTTATGAAATGTTATGAAATGAGTGGATTCTGGAGCTTGTCAGCTTGAGTCTAATTCCCAGCTATACCACTTACTAGACATGTAAAGCTCTGAGTCATTTGACCTATCTGTTTTCTAATAGTTTCATCTATGAAATGTGAGTGGTAATAGTAAAAACTACATCAGAGAGTCATTGCAAAGTTCAAATGAGTACTGTGTTTGTCATGGCATTACTCAACTTTCGCTGTGGTGACAAGGAACCCCAAATCTAATTGGCTTACAACATTTATTTCTTGCTTACGTTATTGGAAGGCCGTGGGCTGGCTGGGTCCTAAGTAGGCTCCCTTTGACTCAGCTGGGCTTGACTCAGTATCACATGTCTTTTTATTCCAGTCCTAATCTGAAAGAGAAACACTACCAGGCCTCAATGTTCTCTTGATGAGGGCAGAAGCCCAAAGAGATAGCGAGAAACCTTGTTAATTCATTTAAAGCTCCTGCTTTGGCAAAGTATATTTACACCCACTAACATTACATCATCGAAGCAAGTCATCAATCTAAGACCCCAATTAAGAGGGTAGTGACAGGCGCTCTGCCTACCGGGAGGCAGGCAAGAGTGAGCCATGAGTGAATACTTGAACAAATTATACCATCCACTTTAAAATTTAATGCAATTCTCGGTATCTAATAAGCATCTCTACAGGTGTTAAGTGCTGCTGTTAGCAATAAATGTACACATAACTATGCTTGAGTTCCTATTAAGTGACAATATTGTTATACATCATGCAATGACTAAGACCTCAATGTTGGTGATTGTGTTTACATAAGAGAAGCAATAAATGCACAAACAAGAGCAATGTGAATTATTTAGTGCTATGTAGAGAATTAAAATGGGCTCCAGTACAGACATGTGCTTGCACCAGCTTGTGAGAGCCAATTGCATGCATTGCTTCCAAACCCTGCTTTTGGGGATTGATTATGTGTCAATAGTTTGAAATGGACACGACAGTCGTGTTTACAACATGGACATTGGCTAATGCTATAAATCAGATAATATTTACTTATTTACTTTTAAAAAAATTTGGCTGAAGGGAGATCTGGTTGTTAAACATTTATGAGTACACTATAAGTCATGTAAATCTTTCCTCTTTTCCCACCTCCCTTTCTAATGTGGCCCAACAGTGCAGGGCGATGGCAGCATAAACCAAAAATAAAATTCTAAGCCCCCTAGCCAATTAAAAGGATCCTTCCTCTCAGCCTAGGACATTCTTTTTTTTTTTTTTTTTTTTTTTTTTGAGACGGAGTCTCACTCTGTCGCCCAGGATGGAGTGCAGTGGTGCAATCTCGGCTCTGCAAGCTCTGCCTCCCGGCTTCACGCCATTCTCCTGCCTCAGCCTCCCAAGTAGCTGGGCCTACAGGCGCCCCCCCACCACGCCCGGCTAATTTTTTGTATTTTTAGTAGAGACGGGGTTTCACCGTGTTAGCCAGGATGGTCTCAATCTTCTGACCTTGTGATCTGCCTGCCTCGGCCTCCCAAAGTGCTGGGATTACAGGCGTGAGCCACCGCGCCCGGCCCAGCCTAGGACATTCTTAAGCTAACCTGAAAAAAACTAATTCAGGCCATAATGGGAAGTAGGGGTTGAACATGCCTCATTATACCGTCTTCCCTTTGGAATTCAGGCACAGCTGTCCAGCTTTAACATTAAAACAGAAACCTTAAGCAAAGCTTTCAAACTAATGAAGACCACTGCACAGTTCCACATATTTTGTTTTGTTTTCTTTCTTATGTTATTTTTTTCTTCCCTGGTTTCTGGCTGACTTGAAGGTGCTGACTACCTCCTTTCGTTTCCTCTAACTAACCTTGGTGCCTGGCCCTCCTCCTCTCCAATGTTTCTTCCTCTGAGGCATACTTAGCTCTCAGTATTCTCCTTTTACCTGTGTCCTTCTAAAGAAGATCACTATCACTATTTTAAAATGCCTTTGTTTTTGTTCCCCATCTGCCTTTTTTAAATTTATTTTCCCCTTTTATTATTTTTTAACTTCAAAACAATTCTTAAAACATTAAAATTCTTTCTATAATTGTAATTACCCGTAATAAAGTATGTAAACATCACTTGCTCTCATCCCTTCTTCCTCCAAAGGACTTCATCCTTTTAATTGAGAATGAGGTTACTTCAGCCAGATGCAGTATTAATTCACCACCACAGGCACTATTACCTATTTCTTTTTTCCATTGTTATCAGTGTGGACAAGATTTTCTCATTAATTTAATTTTTTGCCCATACATTAAGTTTCAGTTTTCTTATTATTTAGTTACCTGGAGCCTAAAAATAATCTTCCTTGTTTCTTTAACGTTATGACAGTGGAATATCAAGGGTAGAGTAGAAGGAATGGCCTGCTCAAGTATAGCCAATAAGGATGTACATTGTCTTTAAAGAATTTAAACATAATGATCAAATCAACTAAAGGAACTCTGCAGTCTGGAGTGTTAATGTTTGTCTAATGCATTTCTGAAGAGCCTGCACTAATAGATCTTTGAGCACGCGTGACTCACTGTCTCCTCTGAATATAATGTACACTGTTCTGCCACAGGCATCATCAACCTGACCAACCTGTGTGGCTATCCATGTGTCACATGAGGCCCACCCACTTCAAGGAGTCATTTCTGTACTTCCCTGAAGATGGAGAGAATGCCATTTTGATTTACCTCTCACACAGTTTCCCCGATGACCTAATCCTTATGCATTAAGATGTCTGTTTCAACTCCCACTATGGTTGCAAGGGATGCTTCTTCTTCCCACCCCAGATACCCACCTTTCCCATCTTATTCTCCCTCTGCCTGTCTCATCTATTATCTCTTACAGTTTTAAGTCATGGACGATCATCCCTGTCACCCCTGATACTTGACAGCATTCTCCACAATCTTACAGGTTAGGCTGGGCCTGCAAATTAAAAATCATCATACTGGTCCAAAAGTAAAGAGAAGCCTGGGTTACCAACAGGGCCAGGTCTCAGATAAAGCAAGTGAGTCACTTACCTGGGACACAAAATTTAAGGAAATGGTAAGAAACTCGGTAATTAAGGTAAATAATGTGTTAATGCAATATTTTAAAACAATTGAAATTAATGCAAAAAATCCATGATGAACAAAATATCAAAATCTGTAATAAAGACAGGGTCACAGTACTGATTTTCCCTTTTGGCTCAGGTTCCAATATAGTTTGACACAGCACTGGTTACAACATTCAGTTGTAAAAGATACAGCAAGAAAAATAGCCAGGAATCTGCTTGAGCGTGAGTAATTAGGAAGGGCCTATTTGAGGAAGTTCAATTTAAGCTGAGACCTGAACAACAGAACAGAGCCTGCCGGGTGTGGTGGCTCACGCCTGTAATCCCAGAACTTTGGGAGGCCGAGGCAGATGGATCACCTGAGGTCAGGAGTTCGAGAACAGCCTGGCCAACATGGTGAAACCTGTCTCTACTAAAAATACAAAAATTAGCCAGATGTGGTGGTGCGTGCCTGTAACTCCAGCTACTTGGGAGGCAGAGACAGGAGAATTGCTTGAACAGGGGACAAGAGAATTGCTTGAACCCAGGAGACAGAGGTTGCAGTGAACCAAGATCATGCCACTGCACTCCAGCCTGGGCGACAGAGTGAGATTCCATCTCTAAAAAAAATAGAAGAACAGAGCCCAGAGCCGGTCATATCAAGGAGGGGAAGAGCCATCCAGGCACAGTGGAAAGCTGCTTCCAAGTTTCTGAGCTGGCAAGGCACCTGTCATGTGGAAGGAAACCAAACAGAACCCACATGGCTGGGACATAGTTGTTGAGCGACACTGTGGTGGGAGAGGAGGACAGAAAGGCAAGCAAAGGTTTACTCTTGTCAAACTTTGAAAATCCATATTCAAATTTTATTTTTACAGCATGGAAAATGATTGGAGTGTTTTAAGCAGAGAAGTGATGTGCTCTGATTTTTGTTGTAAAAAAATGTTTGGGATTTATGTTCTATAGATAATGGATTTTAGGCTTCTAAGAGGGGAAATAATGAGTTCCAATGTGGGTATGTATGTAGTTTGAGGGGGCTGGAAGTTGTGGGATGTTTTGGTTAATAGTTTCAGTTTAGGGGGAAATGATCATCGGTGGATATGACAGAGGGCAAGACAGAAGGCATGAAATGGTTCCTTCAGAGAGTACTTCAGCAAATGTGAAATCATGATATAATGATAAATATAAATTTGTTATTTGTCCTAGGTTCCTGGCACAAAGCTCCTTGAATCCTTGTCATTTTCTGAGTGATAGGGGTAATAAAAGCGTCATCTGTTATAATATTTAGTCTTACTCCCTGGGTTCCTGACAGAAGAGCATCTAAGACCCTTGGCATCTCTGGAGTGATGAGAGTGTCTTTTGTGTGCTGATGAGATGACTGGTAGCTAGGACACCTAGATAGCTTCAGGATGGGGGCTGGCCATGAGAAAGACCTAGGCACGTTTAGAGGATTGGAACTTTCAGCACTACCCTTGACATCCAGGAAGGGGAGAGTGACTGGAGATTGAGTAAATCACCAATGCTCAATGATTTGATGAATCATGCTTATAATATGGAGCCTTCATACAAGCCCTCAGCGATGGAATTCAGGAACCGTCTGGGTTGGTGAAGACATCTAAGTGCTGGGAGAGGGGTCCACCCAGAGAGGGCATGGAAGCACCACACCCCTTCCCACATACCTTATCCTGTCATCTCACTTATTTGGCTGTTTCTGAGTTGTATTCTCTATAGCAAACCAGCAATAGTAAACGGTTTTTCTGAGTTCTGTGAGCCATTTTAGGACATTATCAAACTTAAAAAAAAGGTCTGGGAACCCTCAACTGATATCCAGTTGGTCAGAAGTACGGAAAGCCCTGGCCTTGTGATTGCAATCTGAAGTGAGAGCAGTCTTGTGGGGCTGAGCTCTTCACTTGTGGGACCTGACATTAACTCCAGGTATACAGTGTCAGAATTGAATTGCAGGATGCCCAGTTGGTGTTGGAGAATTGGTTGCTGTGGGAATTACAGAAATCCCTACCACATTTGGTGTCAGAAGTATACTGTGTCTAGAAACAGATTATAGCAGCAAATATCCTGGAAAGTGTAGTTGGGTTGTAGAGAATTTTGGGTCACCCTCTTGATATTTATAGGCCTGAATTTAAGGTGATATTAGCCAGCCTGGAGAGAACAGAGGCACCATAGAGTTGCCAGGATGCAGATGAATAGTTGGGTGAGAATATGTGGCCAGTGGCATCCAGAACCAAGTAAGCTCTTCCAAAAATCTTCAAGCTAGCTTGCTCTCCATCATTGTTTCACTGGACCAGTGGCTTTGAAACATGTAACCATTAAGGAAAATATAATAATCAGTGTGATAGTTAATTTTATGTTTATCATGGCTGGGCCATGGTGCCCAGATATCTGGTCAGCCGTTATTATAGGTGTTTCTGTAAAGGTGTTTTGGATGAGATCTGCTTTACATTTAAATCTGTGGATTTTGAGTAAAGCAGATTGCCCTCTGTAATGTGGGTGGGCCTCATCCGATCAGTTAAAGGTCTGACTAGAATGAAAGCCTGACTTCTCCTGAGCAAGAGGGAATTCTGCCAGCAGATGGCCCTTGGAATTCATCTGCAACATTGGCTCTTCCCTTGGTTCTACAACAGGCTGCCTTTAGACTCAAACTGTAACTTTTTCCAAATATCCAGCTTGCCAGCTTCCCCCATCAGATTTTGGACTCACCAAGACATACATATATATACACATTTATATATATGTATGTATACACATACAAATATATATACTAATATATACTTTTCTATATGTATAAATACATATATACATATATATATATATATATATATATATATGTGAGCCAATTCTTTTGTTATTGTGATGGTTAATATTGAGTGTCAACTTGGTTGAATTGAAGGATGCAAAGTATTATTTCTGGGTGTGTGTGTGAAGGTGTTGCCAAAGGAGTTTAACACTTGAGTCAGTGGACTGTGAAAGGTAGACCCACCCTCAATCTGGGTGGGCACCATCTAATCAACTGCCAGCACTGCTAGAATACAGCAGGCAGGATAAAGTGGAAAGAGTTGACTTGCTGAGTCTTCTGGACTTCATCTTTCTCTCATGCTGGATGCTTCCTGCTGTTGAACATCTTCAACTTTTGGACTCTTGGATTTACACCAGTGGTTTTCCAGGGGCTCTCAGGCTTTCAGCCACAGACTAAAGGCTACACTCTCAGCTTTCCCCTACTTTTGAGATTTTGGGACTGACTTCCTTGTTCCTCAGCTTGCAGATGGCCTATTGTGGAACTCCACCTTGTGATTGTGTGAGTCAGTACCCCTTAATAGAGTCCCTTTCATCTGTACATCTATCCTATTATTTCTGTCCCTCTAGAGAACCCAGACTAATACAATCATCATGTGAGCCAATTCCTTAAATCTCTCTAGATAGATAGATAGATAGATAGATAGATAGATAGATAGATTAGATAGATGATAGAGATAGATAGATAGATAGATAGATAGATAGATAGATAGATATAAGTATACATATACACACATACATACAATCACCTGTGTTAGAAAGTAAGGTGAGATGGATGCTTGCATAGATACAGAACATAGATATAATAAATGACAATGATACTTTCTGAAACAATTAAATGAAGTATTACTAATCACCACAAAACATCATCGTTTTATATAAAGTATCATTTATTGCAGACACATCGAGACTCCTTCATCTTCTTTTTGTTTTTCATTTAATCTTTCAAGCTACCCCAATTAAATGAAGTATTACTAATCACCACAAAACATCATCGTTTTATATAAAGTATCATTTATTGCAGACACATCGAGACTCCTTCATCTTCTTTTTGTTTTTCATTTAATCTTTCAAGCTACCCCATGAGTGGGATAGAGAAAATTCATTCACTTTCAGGTGAGAATACTGAGGAACAGTGCATTGGTATCTTTTGAAAATTGTCATTACATTTTACTTATTTGCACTTTTAGAAATTCAGTTTTGCTTTGGAAACTATATTGTATAGCTTGCTGGATTAGATAAAATTTGAGATTAGCTTTTAATTATTACTTTTCTTCACATATGGATAAGCGTTTTACTTAAAAGTGTACAAATCAGTATAAAAATTGGTGGTGAGAGGTTGCTGATTCTCAGCCAAGTGGAAAATACATCACTGATATTTTTATTTCTTATGAAATAAATACATGTGCACCCCAGTTGTAAGAGTGGGTGAGACTGTGCTGTAAAGCGAAGCACATTGTAGATGATGTGGAGTGACCTAGTTTTCTGAGCAGAAACCTCCAGTGTTAGATTTATGAAGACGCAGCCTTCAGAACTCAAGTGATGAAGAGTTATTTGCATCAGGATATAAAAACATCATTATCCCACATCCTAAGTGATATAAATGGAGACACCAAGAAAATGACTTCTTGTTTGTAAACCAAAAGTATCTAAAAGCAGGAGAAAATGCCTCTTCAGCATTTGCTTCCCTATTTAACAAAAAGAAGATAAGGTGTAGATAGAAAAGGGCCAAACTTCTTGCATATAGGTCCAGCCAAAAAAGAGAATCAGTCAATAGTTTGGGAATGAAATGACACAAAACAGTATGTGGCAATAGCTTTAAAGAAGAGAATAAACCAGAGGCGGACATAAAGGGGCATGCAGGCAAGTACCTGTCCAGAGAGGAGACATTGAAGCGGGAGCTTAGAAAAGTGAGATATTGCAGGGATAATGTTTCTCCAGTTTTTGCATGCTATTTAATTCTATTGAATAATTTTATTTAATTCAACTAAGCATATTTAATAAGACATGGTTTCAGATGTTTAGTTTTGATAGTCTTTTGACTTGTACATTTGAAACAAGTCTGCTTATTAATAGCAAAGTTGTTAAGTTGGATCTCACTTCCCATGTATTGCTGAATTTTCACTGGCAATTTCTCCAAAGGAAAGATCCTCAAGAGCCTCCTCTGTGACTCTGTTAGTACCTTTAGCAGGGCTGAGAATTTGAACCAAAGTTCAAGGGATTGTGGCAGCTGTGGTGTGATCATGGGAAGAGAAAAACAGGAATTTAAAAAGAATACAAATAAGAAAATTATGGATGGGGAACAGATTAGTGGTTCTCAGGAAGTGGCTGTGGCCATAGAAGGGTAGCAGGAGTGGTCTGCTGAGGGAGCTGTTTTGGTCCCTGACTGAAGTGGTGTTCACATGAACCTATACATGTGCTAAAACTGCACAGAACCAAATACACATGCAAATGAATGCATGCAAAACTGGTGAAACCTGAAGAAAGTCTATGGATTGTATCAATGTCAAATTCCTGATTACGATATTATACTATATTGTTGTTGTTGTTTTGTGTTTTTTTTTTATTTTTATATATTTTTTTATTTTTTGAGATGGAGTCTTCCTGTGACACCCATGCTGGAGTGCAGTGGCATGATCTTGGCAACCTCCTCCTCCTGGGTTCAAGTAATTCTCCTGCCTCAGTCTCCCAAGTAGCTGGGACTAAAGGTGCCTGCCACCATGCCCAGATAATTTTTGTATTTTAGGTAGAGACGGGGTTTCACCATATTGGCCAGGCTGGTCTCGAACTCCTGACCTCAAGTGATCCGCCCACCCTGGCCTCCCAAAATGTTGGGATTACAGGCGTGAGCCATTGTGCCCGGCCTGTACTATAGTTTTGCAAGATGTTACCACTGGGGGAAACTGGATGAATGGTATAGGGCAGCAGTTCCCAACCTTTTTGGCACCAGGGACCAGTATTGTGGAAGACAATTTTTCCATGGACCAGGAGATTGTGGGGATGGTTTCAGGATGAAACTTCTGCCTCAGATCAGGCATTAGATTATCATAAGGAGCACATAACCTAGATACTTCACTTGCACAACTCACAATAGGGTTTACACACCTATGAGAATCTAATGCCACCGCTGATCTGACAGGAGGCGGAGTTCAGGCAGTAATGCTCACTCACCGGCTGCTCACCTTCTCTTGGGCAGCCAGGTTCCTAACAGGCTGTAGATCAATACCAGTCCACGACCCACGGGTTGGGAACCCCTGGTACAGGGAACTCCTTTGTTTTATTTCTTGTAACTGCATGTTTATTTATAATTATCTCAAAATTATGAAGTTAAAAACAAATAATACAGGACAGTTTTTTCAGTTTAGCCATTTTAATAGATGTGTAGTGACATCTCATTGTGGTTTTTAATTTGTGTAACTTGCACTTATTGGTTTTCTAAATATCTTCTTTGGTAAAGTGTCTTCAGATTTTATATCCACTTTTTTAATGATCATTTTCTTATTATTGAGTTTTGAGAGTTAAAAAATATATCATTTGAAAAGATCTTATCAAATATGTGTTTTGCAAATATTAGCTCAGCCTATGGCTTTTCATTTTCTAACTCAGTGTTTTTTAAAAAGAAGAAATTTTAATTTGATGCAGTTCAATTTATTGATTACTTATCTTTTGGATGACCCTTTTGGTATTATATCTAAGAACTCATTGTTTAACCCTAGGTTACAGAGATTTTATTCATACAAAGTGTTGGTAAAGATAGGAAAGAAATAAAACTGATACAATGCTGGTGGAAAGGTAAAATGTGACAACCTCATGGAAAATATTTTTGGAGTTTATAAAAATGTTAGCATATTCCTATTATATGACTTAATCATACCACTCCTCAGTATTTACCCAAGAGAAAGAAAGCTTGCAGGCACGCAAAGACTTGCATGTGTATACAATTTGTCAGAATCAAAATGGAGCCACTAATGTCAGGAAAATCCTGACATAGAGCCACGGAAGGCTATGAAGAGGGAGTTCTCACGTTTGTATGCCTGATAAAGAACAAGATTACAAAAACCACAACCTTGTACAAAGGCCATTGCAACCTTACAAAAAGAAAAAAAAATACTTCTGCAAAGACATTTGCCCAGCAACTGCCTGTCTAACCTGGGACTAGTGTCACCCTTCTTATTAATCCTTGTAGTTAAGGGTAATTATTTCAAAAACAATTATGTAATCCTCCTAGTTTTTTTCTTTAAAAAACTCTGTCTTTCTTTACCTCCCTGAATACACACATAATTTACTATAACATGTGTATTCCCATTGCAATGCTCTAGTCACAAATAAACACCATTTACTTTTTCAGAGAACTTCTCTCTGTTATTTAAATTGAGACGCATATGCTCACAGCAGCTTTATTTTTAATAGCCCGAAACTGGAAACAACCCAAATTTCCACCAAGAGGAGAATGAGTGTACAAATTGGGGTATATCCATAGAGTGATATACTACTAAACAATAAACAAGGATGAAATATTGATGCACACAACATGAATAAATCTCAAAATAATTATACTGAGTAAAAGAAGCCAGAAAACCTACACGTACATACATACAAGAGTAAATATTGCATGATTCCATGTATACAAAAATTCTAAAAGTGCAAACTAATCTATATTGACAGATGCAGATCATTGGTTGCATGGGAAGGGATATAGGGAAGGGTGAGAGAAAGATCATGAGGGAACAGGAAGGTGGTGGGTTCACTCATTATCTTGACTGTGGTGATAGTTTCACAGGTGTATACGTATGTCAAACATATCAAATTGTACATGTTACATATGTGAAGTTTGTTTAATAAAGCTGTTAAAAAATAGAGCCCTCTTGCTTCTCCCTGGGCTGTCAAAGCTGCTGCTAGGGGAAATGACAGAGCCCCTGCCTACTTCCCCAGAACCTTCTCTCTTACCAGCAAAAGTCATGAGCCACTGCAAGAGGGACAGAAAATACTCCCGCTTCCAAAGCCCAGAAAAAGATTCACTGCTTTGTAAGAGAGGGAAGATGCCAAGGTCAACTGCCCATGAGGGAGACCAAGAAACCTTTTTGGACACATTATCCAGCGCTGATAGAAAGCTGAGGGAGGTCTGCAGGCTTTCTCCTGCCTCCAGCTTGCCCCAGAGCAAAGGCACAGTTTGGTGGGAGTGGAGAGAGGACAAAACACCAAGAAAGTCCCACCACTTTGAGTGAGTTCCAGGCTCACAAGAGCAGCTGAAGTCTGAGGCTAGTCTAGGAACTCAAAGAAACAAGATTAGTGTTGAACTTTCCTTCATTGACTTTTGCTCTCTGCCTGTTCTGGATCTACATGGCATATCTCTATTGATCCATCCTGGATTGGCAGGCTTTGACAAAGTTTCTACCAAAACTTCCAGCTATTGTTTTCTGGAGGATAAAGAGGGAAGGCCATGTTCCCTCATAGGATAAAGGTATGTCCATATCAAGGAGTGCCCAGTCCTTCCTTCGTCCAGCAACAAAGAGCAAAGTGTTGAATAGCAGAGGTACACAGTCCAGATCCTTCTACGTCTCACAGGACACGCTTCGTAGGTGGAGGAAATAAGTTATAAGCTTTCATCTATTTGAAAGGCTAGAAGCATTAAGCACATTATCTTTTTCCTCCAAATGGTTTTGGCAGGGGAGAAATTATTATGGTTATTTTTCCCTTCTGATAATTTTTGGAACTAGTCATCAGTTGGGTAGACATTAATTTTTATTATTTACTAAAATAAAAGACATTTTTCATCATGAGATATTTTGAAGTCAATTGCCTTGGAAAAAATTGCTACAATGAAACATTAATAGGCTGCTTAATATAAAATTTTAAAAATAGTTATCCTCATTGTTTATTGAGAGACATTTCTGTAGATTTTCCCCCTCAGAAGCATCTGTAAAACATTGAAGAATCATTGCTCAATTTAGAATGGGTTTCAACATTTCCCCTAAGATTGGAGTATAATAAACACATCATGTATTTTTTTCTTTCACTACATGTTTCCTGGAAAGATTTTGGCCATTTTTTCCTAAGGGAACATCAAATTGGAAGACATTTTGGTTAGAAGCATTTTAATAGTACCACCTTTTTTCCTTTTCTTCTGTAAAGAAGATAGACGGCATGAGTTAAATGGTAACCACCAGCTCTTTACTGGATAAAACACCTAACTTAGGCTACAGTAAACAAGGAAGACTAACACAGTGGTAGTTATTTAAAGCTGGGCATGTAAGATTCCTGCTAATCTACAGCAACTATAGGCAATGCCTCCTCCCACATTGTAGAGTTAGGAATCTATTATCACACCAAACAGCCCTCCATGCACCTGACGCTGACTGTGTCACACACAGACATCCACCATCATCCGAGTTCAGTTGGAAGGGAAGGGGCAGCCCCATCTCTCCCTTCTGGTAGAGTGAGTATAAAGAACTCAGACTTTAGAATCAGACAGAAAACAATTGAGCTCAGCTTCGCTGCTTGCACTTGGGCTACCTCAGGCAAATGAATAACAATGACAACAATGAAAATAATACCTGACATTTATTGAACACTTATATTTGCCAGCTTTTATAATAAACACTTTATATGCATTAATTCTTTCACTCTTCACCATGATATTATATAATCGCTTTTTCAGGAAGGAAGCTTGGACGGACTGGGTAAATTGCCCTACAGTACACAGCTTGTAAGTAGCAGAATGGCATAATGAGCACTTTATCTGATGACTAAGAATGTACAATGACATCTGTGTCTCCACCAGGAAGAAGCTCTGTAACCCAGATCAATGGATCATCCACCATTTAAGGAAGAAGAAGAAATCTGGTGTCAATGGAGGTCAAAGTTGAGCCAGCCTAGCATGAAGCAAACGTGTTATGGCCCCCAGCATACCATGATCATAATATTGTGAACCTGAATATCCAAGACAGGTCTCAGTTAATTTACAAAGTTTGTTTTGTCAATGTTGAGGACACGCATTCGTGACACAGCCTTAGGAGGTCCTGACGACATGTTCCCAAGGTGGTCGGGGCACAGCTTGGTTTTATACATTTTAGGGAGACATGAGACATCAATCAATACATGTAAGATGTACATTGGTTCCATCCAGAAAGGTGGGACAACACAATCAGGGAGGGGGCTTCCAAGTCACAGGTAGGTGAGAGACAAATCGTTGCATTCTTTTGAGTTTCTGATGAGCCTTTCCAAAGGAGGCAATCAGATACGCATTTATCTCAGTGAGCAGAGAGGTGACTGAATAGAATGAGAGGCAGGTTGGCCCTAAGAAGTTCCCAGCTTGACTTTTCCCTTTAGCTTAGCGATTTTAGGGCCATAAGGTTTATTTTTCTTTCACAATATTAAGGCCAAGTATGTAAATAGTACCCTTTGTTTCCGGCAGTATAAAGTCAGATCCCAAAGTGCAGTGGCCTAAGCCTGCAGAACAGTGAAAAGAAGTACCTGTCCTGGGAGGGCACAGAAAGAAGAGTGCAGGAGGATTAGGACTCTCATGATACAGAAGACTAGCTTCACTGAGCCAGAAATCTTCTCTCAATATTTAAGTCTTGTTATCTATATTTGATCAACTTTCAATATACATCAAGTTACTTAAAACAGAAGAAAAGATTTGTTTCCTTGAAAATAACAAGCGCCTGGTAAAGAGGAACCTGATTCTCGCATTATTGGTTGGTTCTGTTCCCCACAGCCTGGGCTTCCAAATACAAACACCCTTCAAGCTCATGACCTGATCCTTCTTATCCCATTGTTCACAAGGGCAGCATGTGTCAAATTTTGCTCTGATATCTTATGAAATTGTTAACCAGCCAGAGTCCTGGAACCTACTCTCAAAGACTCAGATTTAATATGTTTGGGTGAAAGCCTAGAAACCTGTAGCTTTAATAACTTCACAGATTCTTTGCCCATGAGGCCAGTCCCAGGAACATCATCTTTTGCTGCATGCTGGTGAAATGTACCCATGAATTCACACTTAGACACATGCTCACACTTACACCTGAGCACCTCCTGTCTCATCAGGTCGTGGGAAACTTTCCCAAGCCCCTCTTCTCTCTGGATTAAATCACCTCCACTTTTCACAGCCAATCCATTTTTAAAAAAACAATATTCTGGATGGGGGCCACAGCTCCAGTGCCTAGCAACTACTTCCAGCTCGCCGACATGAGATTTGTTATTCTCTTGAAAGAAGGCATTTAGAACTCAAAACACAAAATGTGGAAAAGTTGTTGGGATAGAGGAGGAAGAATACTTCACATTTCTTCCAAGCCCCAACAAAAAAAAGGCAGAACACACCCATGGGATGACAGGGATTTGACAGGACAGCAGGTGTCACATCGAGGTCTTTGGGGAATGCACAGCTGTCCACGGGGCACCTGACATGTCTGACACTGGACATGATTTGTGTAGGCCCCACTGATGGAGATCTTACTACTAACATGGTGGGGACGTCCAGGAACATCAGTGAAAAATTGCCCTTTATATTCCAAACCTGTTAATGCTGCCCTATGTGACAAAATATGTATCATTTTTTAAAGTGGTAAGACAGAGGTAGTGGCAAAATTTTAAAAATCTTATTGATTGATTGATTGATGAGTACCTCAAACAACAGAAATGTATTCTCTAGCAGTTCTGGAGGCTGGAAGTCCAGGATGAAAGTGTTGGCTGTTTGGTTTCTCCTGAGGCCTCGCTCCTTTGCTCTCAGGTCACCACCTTCTCACATGTTCTCACGTGGTGTCTCTTCTGTGCACGTGTGCTGGGTCTCCTTATGACTATCTTAGTCTCCCCTCCTCCCCTCCTTCTTCTTCTTCTCCTTCTTTATTATGGTAAGAATGCTTAACATGAGGCTTACCTTCTTAATAAAACTTTATATATTTAAACATCTTATCGAATTACCAACTGTAGTGGGCTGAATGGTGACCCCTAAAAAGATATGTCCATGTTCTAATCCATGAAACCTGTGAATGCTTCCTTACATGACAAATTATATGATAAGTTATGAATTTTGAGGCTAAGCACAGTGGCTCAGGCCTGTAATTCCAGCACTTTGGGAGGCCGAGGCAGGCACATGGCTTGAGCCCAGGAGTTTGGGACCAGCCTGGGCAACATGGTGAAACCCCATCTCTACAAAAAATACAAAAATTAGTCGGGCATGGTGGCATGTGCCTGTGGTCCCAGCTACTCGGGAGGCTGAGGTGGGGGGATTCCTTGAGCCTGGGAGGTGGAGGTGGCAGTGAGTGGTGATCATGTCACTGCCCTCCAGCCTCAGCGACAAAGTCAAGTCAAAAGAGTCTATCTTAGGTTACCCAGAAGGGCCTTAAATCCAATGACAAGTGTTCTTATAAGAATGAGGCAGAGGGGGCTGAGTGCAGTGGCTCACATCTGTAATCCCAGCACTCTCGGAGGCTGAGAAGGACAGATCATGAGGTCAGGAGTTCAAGACCAACCTGGTCAACATGGTGAAACCCGGTCTCTACTAAAAATAGAAAAAAATAGCCAGGCGTGGTGGCGGGTGCCTGTAATACCAGCTACTCAGGAGGCTGAGGCAGGAGAATGGCGTGAACCCGGGAGGCGGAGCTTGCAGTGAGCCGAGATTGTGCCACTGCACTCCAGCCTAGGTGACAGAGTGATACTCCGGCTCAAAAAAAAAAAAATTTTAGTTGGGCAGGGTGGTGTGCACCTCTTATTCCAGCTATTCAGGAGGCTGAGGCAATAGAATTGCTTGAACTGGGACCTGGGAGACGCAGGTTGCAGTGAGCTGAGATCGCATCACTGCATTCCAGCCTTGGCTACAGAGAAAGACTCCGTCTCAGAAGCAAACAAAAAAAGAGTGAGGCAGAGGGAAACTTGACAGACAAATAGAAGGGAAGGGCATGTGGAGAAGGAGGCAGATTGGAGTGAAATAGCTGCAAGATCAGAAATGCCAGCAACCACCAGAGGCTGGAAAAATGCCAGGCATGGACTCTTCCCTAAGCCATCCAGAGGGAGCACAGCCCTGTTGACAACATGATTTTAATAGAATGAAACCCATTTTAGACTTCTGACCTCCAGAACTGAGAGATAATAAATGTGCGTTGTTTAAGCCAACTGGAAACAAATACACCAAATAACAGGTATTAAGAATTTGCAGGTTTGGAAAAATAGACATATCAGGCTTCAAGTCCAAACTCAGCTGCAAACCAACTGTGGGACAGTTCTCAGTTTACTCAACTGTAGAAGTAGGATATAACAGTTACCTCTTAGGGTTGCCATAAAGATCACATGGGTAATCTGGAAAGCGTCAATTATTAGACATAATAAATCATAGCTACCCATGAGTCCTACCTACCACAGTTTGACAGATAGAAATTCTCTACATCCCCATATGTTTCCTATACTTCAAAGGTATGTTTTAATTCAAAGAAAGCTTGCAAGAAGCAGAGATGTAAAAAGACTCTGTTGCTATATCTGTGCTGATCAGATCTTATGGACAGCAGAGTGGCAAAAAATTTATGGTATTTCGATTTGCCTGCATTGGAGGCCCTCTGTTGCTTCAAAGGGCAAAAGGGCAAAACTGTCACAAGAAAGGCAGAAAACTCAGATTCCTATGGTAAATGAATAGTGGGAAAAGCAGAAATAAGCAGGGCAAGATGGAGGCAAATAGGAATATTAAAAACTTAGGATGAAAAAAGTCATCACACCTTTCTGTATGACTTGCTTTCCTGATGTTACTGACAATTAATGTTTGGAGCTGGAGCTGAAGGAGAATGGGTTATCTGAAGTCTGCTGAATACAAAATACATGCATTGTTGTCTTTAAAAGATTATTTCTTCATTTGTTTTTGCTGTTCTCCTATTATCAAAAAAATAACTTTTTGATTGTTTTAAATGGGTCATTGTTTGGTGAGTTCCTCATCAATTTTAAGTACTGAACATTCGTATGGCTGTGCAAATATTAAGAAAGCATTTCCACAAAAAGACAAGCAATAAGAGCTGGTGGGGTTATGGAGATAAGTGAAGAATCCTTGCACACTGTTGGTGGGAATGCAAACTGAGATAGCCGTTATGGAAAACAGTATGGAGAGTCCTCAAAAGATTAAAACAGAACCAACATATGATCCAGCAATCCCACTTCTAAGTATAAATACAAAGGAATGAAATCAGTACCTTGGAAAGATATCTGTACTCCCATGTTTATTGCAGCATTATGCACAATAACAAAAATATGGAAACAACCTAAGTGTCAATGGATAAACGGATAAAGAAGATGTGGCAGTGCACACACACACACACACACACACAAACAGTATACTATTCATCCACAAAAAAAGAAGAAAATCCTGGCATTTGGGACAACATGGATGAACCTGGAAGACATTATGATACTTGAAATGAGCCACACACAGAAATACAAATGCTATGTAATCTCATTTACATGTGGAATCTAAAATGTCAAACTCATAGAAGCAGAGAATAGAATGATTGTTACTAAGGGCTAGGGGTTCAGGGAAACAGGAAGATGTTGGTCATAGGACATACACTTTCAGTTATTAGATTGATAAGTCCTGGAGCTCTAAGGTACAGCATGGTGCTTATAATTAATAATATCAGATTATTCACTTGAAATATAATAAAAGAGCATATTTTAAGTTTCCTCACTACACATACACTAAATGACAATGATGAAAGATGATGGTTGTGTTAATTAATTGGACTGTGGTTATTAATGCATAATGTATATGTATGTCAAATCATCACATTTTACACAATGAATAAATACTATTTTTATTAATCTTTAAAATATTTTTAAATTTTAAAAAGAACTTAAATTTTTTTTTAAAAGACAGAAAGCATCTTCAAAGTTCTCAGATTCCTAGATTCCAGGCACTGGGAAGCCAAGAGACAAGACTAGTCAGTGTCCCACATTGACTCACTATCTCTCTTCTTCTGCATTGCTTTATCCTAGAACCTGGGGGCATTGAACTTCCAAACTCAGCAGCAGCCTACTCCAGACATGGCCACAGCCCTGACCTCAGGAATGATGTCACAGGCATTCCTAGGACAAATACTCCTCGCTAGCTTTGTGTTCACTTTGTTACCTGTCCAACTCTGTTTTTGTTTTTGTTTTGTTTTGTTGGTAACTCAACTGTCTAGACTCTTGCTTTGTTTTTAATGATTGCATTCCAGCCTGGAATTCTAACTCTATTGGCTGAGTTCTGCATTTTCTTCTTGGCTCGGTTCTATGCTCAGTGATCTGGCTTCTCGGGGACCTATCCCCAGAACTCTGTTCCCTAAAGTTCTAGCAACTTCCTGCCAGTTTCTTTGATGCAGACTGTCCACTTATCTGGTATTGGTCCCTAACTATCCCCCAGTTATCTTCTCTATCCTGGTGAGTTGGCAGGTTTTCTATCCCCATTTTGTTGCAGATTGAGCCATGACTATATAGCATGCTGAAATGCAAACTATTGGAATTGTATTAGGGTGAGAGGAAGCATCATTTTTCAGGTGCTAGAACCCCTTAAAAGATTAAGAGAGAGAGAAATAGATAGTTGATAGAAATACTTATCAGCTGTATAAGGAGCATAATTTTGCTTCTAATTCATAGTTTATTTAATCAATTAAATCAAAATAATAGGAATTTGAACATGAGATGTCTTGGGGTGAAGAGAAGTGTCCAGGAAGTTCTGTGTTTGTGTGATATGTTGTCACATAGAGATATAAATAAACAATTAAAAATAAAAACCAGAAAGTTAGCTGTGGATGCCACACTGCTCTGTGTGTGTGTGTGTGTGTGTGTGTGTGTGTGTGTGTGTGTGTGTGTAGGGGTAGGGATTTGAACAGCAAGTGTACAGACCTGAGAAGTTAAAATAGGAAAAGGGTGGGGTGGGAGGAGTTCAGATAATACAGAGTTAGGAAGGTTGACAAAAGTGAAAACTTACTGCTTACAAATATGTATGGGTTTGTCTTTCTCACTGCTCACTTTCTTAAGAGACCAGATCACATTTGCTAACCTTTTCATTAGAAAATCAGGAAGGTCGGCCGGGTGTGGTGGCTCACGCCTGTAATCCCAGCACTTTAGGAGGCTGAGGTGGGCGGATCACGAGGTCAGGAGATCGAGACCACGGTGAAACCCAGTCTCTACTTAAAAAAAAAAAAATACAAAAAATTAGCCGGGCATGGTGGCGGGCGGCTGTAGTCCCAACTACTCGGGAGGCTGAGGCAGGAGAATGGCGTGAAACCGGAAGGCGGAGCTTGCAGTGAGCCAAGATCCCGCCACTGCACTCCAGCCTGGGTGACAGAGCAAGACTCCATCTCAAAAAATAAAAATAAATAAAAAATAAAAATAAAAATAAATAAAATAAAATCAGGAAGGTCTGTAAGAGAAACTCCCTGGCAACATTCTCACAGCAAAGCAGAGTGGAATGACACCTCATTGGCAGGATGCCCATTCATCCACAGTTGTCCAAGACAGTCTCATTTACAATTGTGGGCCCAGGGTAATCATTAATACTGCCCCCAGACTTTCTAAAGCAGCTCTGTTTGATTAGTGATAAACCAAGCTAACAGCACATTGTACACTTAAAACTTTTTCACACCATCAGAAATGCTTGTAGATGAACTCACAATTCATCCACTACCAAGAAAGTTCAGTCCATTATCATACCAATCTACCATTAAAGTAGATTGAAACAATCAACCTTCCATTGATGAGACAAAATCAACTTCACATTGGCTCTACTTCCTCCTTTTGGGACCATCTGAATAAGTGTGATCCTTTCATCACATATTTAAGAGCAAAACTATGTTTCTCCAAAATCTTTTATCTCCAAGCTAAGTCTTCCCACTTCCACCATCAATTGTTATGTGGCATTTTCCTCTGCATCTCCATACGGACTGCTCAAAACCACATAAATTCCAGTTTGCCAATATTTTATTCTAATATTTATGCTAAAAATGAATGCATATTCTTCACTCATGGCTTGATCAGGTTTAAGTTAGAGTTCTCTCTTTTTTTGCTGCAGATAATATTCCTGCATTTATGGAACCCGTGGCCAATTTCTTTCTGTCACATTACCCCACCTCAGGTTAATATATTATACCTTCCTAATTAGGTGAGAGACAGATAAACCTTCAAGTAACCTTAGATTATTTTTAATTCTAAAATTATTAAATTAATTTTATTTTGGATGTGAATGAAGAATTTTTCAGTTATTATTACTCAATTCAATTGTGTTAGAATCAGTGTGTTATTTGTCTGCCAATATTCCTTGGGATCCCTATCTTGAAATCCTGCAGGTTCATGACCTTTGAGAGTTCTGTGGCATGCAAATTGGAAAAGTACGTCTTCCATGTTCTCATATTGTTCTGCCTAGAAAAATGTGGGATGTCGAGACAAAATGACTGGGAGGGAGACAATAAACACAAAATTCTACAGCTTGAGAAGATGCTATTGCTTCTTGAAGCTGGCTTGACATTTTCATGAAAGAGTAAGCAGTTTTTCTCAATTTTTTTTTGCAGGCTGCTGGATCACGTTGAAATAACTCCCTTTTTATTGTTGTCCATTCTGCAATCTCTTTAGCAATCTGGCTTTGTGGTGAGTACTACAAGAACCCCAGAGAAGCATGTAGGTATTATAGCTCAAAGACAGCCTTTGAGCTTAGCTTTTGAGGAAAGATTTGACAGAAAGGATATTTAGAGACTTGCACAATATGGATTTCAGAAACTCTTTTCATTCTCTACTGAGCCTATGAGATCAATCTATTAAGCAGTTATGGTTGTTAAGATCACGATCAAGGTTTCCACTTCACTTTGCTTAGGATGACACAGAGATGGCATAACATGGCAGAAGAAAGACTAGTAATGTTCCATGTTTTAATTGCATCATTTGCTCATGTGTTTCTCCATTAAATAAACTTCTTTGCTGGAGGGATTAAGGAAATCATACCATTTGCAACATCAAAATTGATGAAGACGTGATCCTTAATTTGAAGGGCTCATTTTCTGGCAATGAAGGCAAGTGTTTAAGCAAACTGTAGTATAATAGAGACCAATTTCAGCTTCTAACAGGAATTATATCTTAAAGGAAATTACTATCTTTTTTTATTTTAGAGACTCAAAAATGGCTAGTCTGGGAGTTATAAAAAAACATGTCTCCCTCCTCCATTACCATTAAATTCAATGACACAACCTCTCCCTTGAAAACTAAATCTAGTAGTTAATATCTATCAATTCCCTGAAATGTACTGTTATATTAAAAGTCATGCTCTCATACTGGAGTTCATCTGGGTTTTCCTGACACCAAAGTAATGACATGAAAAATATCATCATTTGACTGTTTGGCTTTAAGATGTTAATGTTATATTTTAAAGCATTTCTACTATATTTTAAGCTTTAGTTCAGTGATTGTAATTGCAAACAAAACTAAGCCTTTTGTTCAAAGTAGAAATAAATATCTGTGAGACAGAAAAATGTGATTTTCCATTCTGGATGGAATCCAGTCTCACACTCTGTTTCTGACAATGGAATTAAGAATTATCTTTCATGAGATAATCATTGTCCTGCTGGACCCACCAAAACAGCACAGCCGCTGTGCTTTCAAATAATTGAAAATCAATATCTGGATATTAGAGAAGCTCATTTTTCATAAATTACCAAAGTTGCCTCATTTAAAAAGTTATAAGTAAGGTATATTAGTCCGTTTTCACACTGCTGATAAAGACATACCTGAGACTGGGCAATTTACAAAAGAAAGAGGTTTAATTGGACTCACAGTTCCATGTGGCTAGAGAGGCCTCATAATCATGGAGGAAGGCAAACAGGACAAAGTCACATCTTACGTGGATGGCGGCAGGCAAAGAGAAAGAGCTGGTGCAGAGAAACTCCAGTTTGTAAAACCATCAGATCTCATGAGACCCATTCACTATCATGAGAACAGCATGGGAAAGACTCACCCCCATGATTCCATAATCTCCCACTGGGTCCCTCCCACAACATGTAGGAATTATGGGAGCTACAAGACAAGATTTGTGTGGGGACACAGCCAAATCATATCATTCTGCCCCTGGCTCCTCCCAAATCTCATATCTTTACATTTCAAAACCAATCATGCATTCCCAACAGTCCCCCAAAGTCTCAACTCATTTCAGCATTAACTCAAAAGTCCACAGTCCAAAGTCTCATCCAAGACAAGGCAAGTCCCTTCTGCCTATGAGCCTGTAAAATCACAAGCAAGTTAGTTACTCCCTAGATACAATGAAGGGACAGGCATTGGGTTGAATACAGCCATTCCAAATGGGAGAAATTGGCCAAAACAAATTGGCTAAAGGCCCCAAGCAAGTCTGAAATCCAGAGGGGCAGTCAAATCTTAAAGCTCCAAATGATCTCCTTTGACTCTGTGTCTCACATCCAGGGCACACTGATGCAACAGGTGGGTTCCCATGGTCTTGGGCAGCTTTGCCACTGTGGCTTTGTGGGGTACAGCCTCTCTCCCAGCTGCCTTCACAGGCTGTTGTTGAGTGTCTGCAGCTTTTTCAGGTGCATGGTGCAAGCTGTCAGTGGATCTACCATTCTGGCATCTGGAGGATGGAGGTCCTCTTCTCACAGTTCCACTAGGTGGTGCCCCAGTAGGGATTCTGTGTGTGGGCTCCTACTCCACATTTCCTTTCTGCACTGTCCTAGTAGAGGTTCTTCATGAGGACCCCATTCCTACAGCAAACTTCTACCTGGGCATCCAGGCATTTCCATACATCTTCTGACATCTAGGAGGAGGTTCCAAACCTCAATTGTTGACTTCTGTGCACTTGCAGGCTCAATACCACATGGAAGCTGCCAAGTCTTGGGGCTTGCACCCTCTGAAACCATGGCTCGAGCTCTACGTTGGCCCTTGCAGCCATGGCTGGAGAAGCTGGGATGCAGGGCACCAAGTCCCTAGGCTGCACACAGCAAGGGAACCCTGGGCCAGACCCATGAAACCCCTTTTTCCTCCTAAACCTTCAGGCCTGTGATGGGAGGGGCTGCGCAAAGGTCTCTGACATGCCCTGGAGACATTTTCCCCATTGTCTTGGTGATTAACATTCACCTCCTAGTTACTTATGCAAATTTCCACAGTTAGCTTGAATTTCCCCTCAGCAAATTGAATTTTCTTTTCTCTCACATCATCAGGCTGCAAATTTTCCAAACTTTTATGCTCTGTTTCCCTTTTAAAACTGAATGCCTTTAACAGCACTCAAGTCACCTTTTGAATGCTTTGCTGCTTAGAAATTTCTTCTGCTAAATACTCTAAATCATCTCTGTCAAGTTCAAAGTTCCACAAATCTCTAGGGCAGGGGCAAAATATCACCAGTCTCTTTGCTAAAACATAATAAGAGTCACCTCTTTTCTAGTTCCCAACAAGTTCCTCATTTCCATCTGAGACCAACTCAGCCTGAACATTATTGTCCATATCACTAATCAGCATTTTGAGCGAAGCCATTCAACAAGTCTCTAGGAAGTTCTAACCTTTTGCACATTGTCTTGTCTTCTTCTGAGCCCTCCAAACTGTTTCAGTCCCTGCCTGTTACCCAGTTCCAAAGTTGCTTCCACATTTTTGGGTATCTACAGCATCACCCTACTCTACTGGTACCAATTTATTGAATTAGTCAATTTTCACACTGCTGATAAAGACATACCTGAGACTGGGCAATTTACAAAAGAAAGAGGTTTAATTGGACTCACAGTTACACGTGGCTGGGGAGGCCTCATAATTATGTTGGAAGGCAAGGAGGAGCAAGTCACATCTTATGTGGATGGTGGCAGGCAAAGAGAGTGAGCTTGTGCGGGGAAACGCTCGTTTGTAAAACCATCGTATCTTGTGAGACCCACCCACTATCATGGGAAAGACCTGCCCCCATGATTCAATCATCTCCCACTGGGTCCCTCCCACAACACATGGAAATTATGGGAGCTACCAGATGAGATTTGGGTGGGGACATAGAGCCAAACCATACCATAAGGCATTCCTATAAGTCAAATAGGATTCTCTTGTAAGGCAACATTAGCTCGTTTCTATTGGTCTATCTATGTGGAAGTTGAAAATCACACACAAAAAGTGAAGATACTGAATCATCTCTTTTCTTCCCAACTGCACCCTATAATCATGAATGTTGTTCCTTCTACTAATGCTAATTACTCCTAATACTAGCACCATTACTTTTCTTCTATTGCTACTTTCACTTCTGTTACTGGTGATGATAATGATCATAGCTAATACAATGAGCATTTGCTGCATGTCTGGCATACCTTTAAGCATTGTACATAAACTGGCTCATTTAGTCTTCACAATAACTGCATGGAGTTAGATACTAATATAATATCCATATTCTAATTGTGAAAGTATAGGCAGAGAGAGGTTGAGCAAATTGTCTAAGGTCTCACAGCTTGCATTCAACCCAGAGCACCATGGCTCCAGAACAACTGTTCTTCCCATCGTGACCTGCTGCCTCAGAATGAATCTTCACCTATGCCAATTATTGTAAATGTATATATTTATTACATAGCTTAAAAATTCTAGACATGTTTTTAAATAAACTGTTAAACATTTTCAGAATGAGCTATTCATAGAGATCGTTATAACTAACTCATTTTGGAATAATTTTGTTACCCTATGGAAAACATTTTTGAGCTTTTAGTCATATTATTTTTCTCAAAGAAGCTGAATTAACGTTATATATAGTCAAGGTTTAGCCTCTAGAAATGTATAATTAACCAACAAACTAAGAACACAACATTTTTACTATTCTGACCTTATGAATAATTTTCAAAAGGTCATTTACAAATTTTTTAATTTAATTTTAATTTGACCTGAACAATTTGACATACATCTACATGTACAGTAATGCTCCCTTATATATTCCAGGATCCGCAGTGGATGCCTGAAACCTCAGATAGTACTGAACCCTGTGTATACTACATTTTTTTCTAAACATACATATTTATGGTAAAGTTTAATTTATACATTAGACACAAACAAACAACAATAATAATGAGACACATCAATTATAACAATATGCTGTAATAAAAGTAAAATAAGGACTAGTTGAACACAAGCACTGAGATATAGTGAGAAACAGTTGATCAGATAACCAAGAAGGCTACTAAGGGACTAACTGGTAACTGACAGGTAGCATGAACAGTGTAGATACACTGGCCACAGAAATGATTCACATCCCAGGTGGGATGGCGTGGGAGGGTTAAAGATTTTATCATGCTCCTCAGAAAGGCATGCAATTTAAATTTATGAATTGTTTACTTCTGGAATTTTCACTTAATATTTTTGGACCCCATTTGACTGCAGGTAACTGAATGTGTAGAAAGCAAAACTGCAGTGGGCGGCAGTTGGCTGCTACAATAGACATATGTGTAGATAGGGAGATATAGAAATAATAAGAATCAGTTATTGCCTTTTTAAGCCTTCAATCTCATGAAGAAGATAAGTACATAAAATATAATAGTAATGAAATGTATGTATCATTATTGCAATGAACAGTGACTACATGAAAACTTTTGTTTTGTTATTTCGCTAAAAATGGTAAGAATTTCTTGGCCGGTAGAGAATACATCTTTCCTCTTATAGCTCTAAAACATAGTTAAGTTTTTGAAATGTAGTAGCTATCCAGAAATATTTATTGAGTGTTGAATGAGCCATCATATAGATTATATTTTATTTTTAGTTGTTCATGCATCTTAAGTATCTTGATGTTTCCTAAAAGGTGTCATAATTTCACAGAATGAATAGCAGTTCCCACACAATGATGAATGTTCACTTTGGGAGTTGGAAAGTAGAAAAGCCATCTGAAGTTTTCCCAAAAGTGTACAGCATTATGATTTTATGAATGAAAATTGTGAGCTATATGCTCCCTACAAAGCAAAAGGATATCTAATTGCAAATTATTTATTTTATCTGATATTCAAGTCAACTTAATTTGTAATTAGTCAGAAAGGCAATATTTCTAATAATAAATTGTTACTAGTTTAGTTTAGGGGTAAATCTCAGATTTTTATTCTTTACTTTCTTCCTTTTTCTGTCGTACACAAACCTTAGAGGGATGAGATCATCTCTTAGTGCTATTCTCTAGAAATAAAATTGGGAATACTTTTATTGTATATAAAGTTGGAGATAAACCTATATTTAACTCATACTATTTGAGGACTTTAATCCAGCAACCCTTAGTGCTAGGACTTTTGGGGGCAAAATCATCTATCCATTGGCCTTCCTGGGACCGCAGCAGTCAATACCTCAAACTAGTCTCTGAAGATCAATTAGGGTGGTTGAAGTACAAGGCAACCATATCTCTCCCATGAAGGACTTAATCTCATCAAGCTAGTTTATTTCTCACAGTCTTCTACACTGTTTAGACTGCAAGGCAAGCTCTCACTTTTTAAGAGATTCGGAACATTAAACTAGTGCTGGTACCAAATGCAGTCTTCAGCCTCTGCCGTCAGCCACAGCACCAATAGTTCAAAAACAACATTAAAAAAAGATAGGAGGTTAATAGAAATGCAAATCTCAAGCCTCACTCAGATAAAATAATAAGAAATCTCCACAGTCAAAGCTAAATTTCTGAATCCTATCTAATAATGGATTAAAGGAATTCATTATTGGGTGTATCATGAAGGAGCATACTCTTTATAGACCTATACAGACTCTATGAAAAAAAAATATATTACCATAGATCACAGAAAATGTAATCATTTAATATATTGTTTAGGAATTCAGAGTTTTAAATTGAACTGCTACAAATTAAATTAAAGATACAGACTTTAGAAAACAAAAAGAGAAACATAGAGAATACCTGTCTATTTTACTCTCTAGAGGTATCAAGTTTTGCGTGTCTTTGAATGATTTTGGAGTCAATATTTAGGGAAAGAAAATCACCTTATATTTCCTCTTTAGGTCAGAAAAAAATTGTAGAAATGTGGCTATTTCAGGGTGGGGTAGGCAATATGTCTTACGGTAGCCAGATTCATGTCTCAGCATTTATTCTCTGTATTTCAGTTCAGCAGCTGTTGCCAGCTGCCTGAAACTGCCAGCTACCTGAAAGCTTAATAACTACCTGAATAGGATGCTCAACACTCAGGATGACAGCCCGCATCCCTGAGACTAGGAAGCAATAATTAGTTTGATGATTTTCATTGATAAGTAAAATTGGTATTAATGTTACTTGCTAAGTCCTATGTTAACTGTGTTATCCAAATTATGTAATTTATTCTTCTCACCAGTGCTATGAAACAGGCCGTATGATTATTTACATTTTACCTTTGAAAAAACCCAGTGATTTAGAGAGGTTAAATAACTTGCCAAAGGTCACGTAGCTCACAAGTAATGGAACAAGGACTCAAATCCAGGTCTCTGACCATGAACTTTGGGCTCTGAACTGCTCTTAACTACAATATTATATTACTTTAGGTTCCAGGTAGGTCAACTAGATTGTTGCTAATATATAAATGTCCAGAAAAGATGCTAGGCCACTATGCATGCCTTGAAAAGCAAGGATGCAGTGGGAGGAGTAAGAGGGACTTCAAGAAAACCATTTAACGTGCCTGATACCTACCTGCCTGCGGGACTGTGGGAAATCCTGTGAACACACTGTCAAACACTCATCCCTAAGAAATCTAAAATCTGGAGGCTAGGTGTGGTGGTCCATGCCTGTAATCCCAGCACTTTGGGAGGCCGAGGCAGGTGGATCACCTGAGGCCAGGAGTTCGAGACCAGCCTGGCCAACATGACGAAACCCCATCTCTACTAAAAATACAAAAAATAAAAATAAGAAAAAAAATTAGCTGGGTGTGGTCGTGGGTGCCTGTAGTCCCACCTACTTGAGAGGCTAAGGCAGGAGAATCACTTGAACCTGGGAGGCAGAGGTTGCAGTGAGCCAAGATCACGCCACTGCACTCCAGCCTGGGCAACAGAGCGAGACTCCATCTCAAAAAAAAGAAAAAAAAAAGAAGCTGAACTGGAGGAAGAGGCAGGAGGAAGAGAAGGGGAATACTAGGTGGGGAAGAGAAAAGAAGCTGGCAGTGCCATCTGCACCAACATGGCCTTCCCTGAATGAAGCTGATAGAGGGAAGAGTTAACTCTAAATAAAATTTAGCAGTTTTTTTTTTAATTAAAATAGGAACAAACATTTTAATTACTAAGTCGAGACTATTCTTGGATCCAAAAGTTACTGCAGGACTTTGTATTCTCCAAGAGTGACCTTTAAAAAAAGTATGTGATTTATTCAACATGCCTTCCAGGGAAGGGTCATAAATAGCCTAGAAGATTGAAAGTCACACTGAAAATGGAGACTAAAATTAGTTTGTACTTTGTTTCACTTTGTTTTGCCTATGATTTATCAATTTTTGCTCTTGAACAGTGTTCATTTATGTAAAGCACTTATACTCAATAAATAGTAAGACCTATATAAGCATAAACTATTATTCTATTATTTCAGTGAAATGGTTTCTTATTTAACTCCCCTAAGGAAGAAAAGTTTGTGGGATCAAAGCTACAACCAAGACTTATTTGGGGATGAAGGAATTTGTCATGCCCAGGGACATTCTGGCAGGGCTTGAAAAGCTGAGTTAAGGAATATTGTACAGGCAAGTTGACATACGTGACTACTGAGCCCTTTCGTGGTTAACAGTCTTGTCATTCACAATTCACAATGCTTGTCCAGGATCAAGTTAACTGTTTTCTCTTAGGAAGGTCTCTGACCTCATTTAGGAGAGCCTCTTTGCAACCTGGGATTGTTAAACAAAAGTATGTACTGGCTTGTTTCTCCTACCAAACTCTGTTGGGCATTTGGTTATTGACTTGGTGGGGAGAATGAATTAATCTATAAAGGATGAATACACTGTTTAAAAAGACTCCCACAAAATACATATCCAAATGCATATATGTTTTCCTGCGTTGTACTGTAGAAATAAAATAAATGGACAACAATAAAAAAGGCTCGTTTGCTTTGAAAATATTCTTAAGTAAGAATCTGTCGAATTATGTTTTTATAAGCAAACAGGAAGAAGTGGCATGATTTGATGACATGACTGGTGCCCCCTGGAGAAATGGATGACTGTGCTAACTTATGAATGATGAGAAGCGGAGGACAAGGAGAAGGACAAACACATGGAAGGCAAATACTCTAAGCAGAGAAAACAGAATGCATTAAAGGATGGGTGTAAAGGAAATTTAGAAGCCTTCTCATGCAAGGTAACCAAGACTATTCGCTAGTCAGTTCATTGGAAAGGTACATAAAATATACACTGAAGATTTTAATTTTTCTTAAGTCATGTAAATTTATTCATTCATTAGTCTTTGCCTCTAAAACAAAGGCCTTTTGAGGATGATATTGACTGAGTTCACACAATATCATCCTCAAATAAAAAACCTTTGTCTTAGAATTAGACAGAGATTGGTTATGAGTTTCTACTCTAGGCTGGAGCAGAAACCAGTGTTCCTAGAAGGAAAGTTCTCCCAGTCTTTACTAAGGGAATTTGATCTCACCCTATAGTTCGAATTACGGGAGGTAGTAGTGAAGGGTTTTGCAAGTAATATGACAAAATTGGAACCTAAATTTTAGAAAAATTGATATGGCAGTGATGTGAGAATTAATTATAAGGAAAGTCTTGAGTCCAGGATATGTGTTTTAATGGCAATTCAAACATAAGAGAAAGGACTACGGGTAAAGGCATAGAAAAATAGTATATATTGCAAAAATAAAGAAGATAGAAATGAGGGGAGTTGGTGTTAAGTTGCATCGGGGTAAACACATGGCCACTCACAGGTCACAGGTAACTGGGTGCCTTGGTGTATATCCACTAGACGTACACGAGGGATATTGAAAGAGACGCTAACACAGGCAGTGTGGAGGGGAACAACCATTATTTTTGTCTTACCTAGTTTTTTCATGCGTTAAGTTTGAGACAAATAATGAGACATTCAAGTAGAGATGACCTGTAAGAGATACAGCATACTCTGCCAAACTTAATGCAACAAAATTATTTTCAAATTTCTATGCACTTGTGGGGTTCACAATATTCTGGCAGTTTTGTCCAAGCCAGTTTGGCTGAATGCCTGGAAGACTTGGGCCTAGAGCCTCAAGGTCTTCATGCCACAATTGAGTGTGCTGGGGAAGCAGGCAGCACCAACACAACACAGCCTAGATTCACAATTTTTGCTCTCTACAAAGAGTAACTGTAATATTTCGAGTAGGCTGCCAGCACATATTATGGTCATGGCTTTGAACAAGTGTCTGACATACTTCTCTTCCTTAGTAAGTTGAGATAATATTTTGTATCCATATTAATGAATTTCTATGGATGCTGTTTGGATGCCAGTCCGCTCTCCTGAATAAACCTTTATAAAGGGCCTGGTTTAGTGAGAAATAAGGCAATGCCTCATTTGGGAAAAGGGACATTTTTAGGTGTAGGTGCCCTGATACCACCAGTTCTGAAAAATAGGGGTTCAAAGCTCTTCCAAGCCTCAGTGACTTTATTTCCCCCAACACTTCTTCAGAGGAAGTCAATACATTCTTTTTCAAATAGAACAGCTGCCAAATATTCAAATCCTTTCTTTTTTCTTCTTTTCCAATATTCATGCCTTAAAAAATTCAAGCCTTTTAGCCAGCCATGGTGGCTCACACCTGTAATCCCAGCACTTTGGGAGGCTGAGGCAGGTGGATCACCGAGGCGGGTGGATCACCAAGGTGGGTGGATCACTTGAAGTCAGGAGTTCAAGACCAGCCTGGCCAACATGGAGAAACACCATCTCTACTAAAAATACAAAAATTAGCCTGGTGTGGTTGTGGGCACCTGAAATCCCAGCTACTTGGGAGGCTGAGGCAGGAGAATCACTTGAACCCTGAACCCTGAACCCAGAACCCCGGAGGTGGAGGTTGCAATGAGCCAAGATTGTGCCACTGCACTCCAGCCTGGACGACAGAGTGAGACTCTGTCTGGAAAAAAAAAAAAAATTCAAGCCTTTCCATGAATCAACATTTCATTAGATACAAAAACTGAGATTTTAAAATGACTAAATTCTAAGTCAAGAGAATCCTAAAGATTTAGGTGGGGAGGGTTTGCTTCACTTTAATAATGTAATTTCTGGATAACCATAAAGAATGTTCCCAAATTAACTCTAAATGTAAGAACAAGGACTAATAAATTTTTTTGCTGTTGAGAGACTAACTGCTATTAAGTTACCTGGTGCTTTTGAAAATCCACTGAGTTATTATTCTACTCTGTCTGTATACCAACTAATTAAGCAAGAACGTTTGACTCAGCTGAACTTGTTTCCAGATATAAAGAAAAGAAAACACAGGAACGAAGCCCCAGTTAAATGTTTCTGCATTCTGACTTTTGCAATTTTTTCCAAGGGACAGGATATATCCCAGTCTACCTTATATCTGTTGGCTATTTATAAATGCTCTAAAGATAGAAGCCTATGGCTGACTTTCTTACAAAATTTGTTCATTAAGCAGCCATGGTACCACCACAGAGACTTACAGATAAAAATGAAGGTCAGTGATCATTATTTAAAGAACATAGTTGATTATGAGCTCTCCTAGACAAGCAAAGGCAAAGGCCAGCATAGGAGTCCTAAATTAACCCTATGATTAAACCCAGAGTCCCTGTAGCAGTGCTACTTAAAGTGTGGCCCATAGACCTGCACCAGTTTTTGTTTATTTCTTCCAGTACACTAAGGAGGTAAGTACAATAACAGTAAGCATTTAGGAACTTCCAAAATAATCTGCAGAGATTTTATATGCATTGGCTTAAATAATTTTTTTTTCAAATTGGGGCTTCCATATTGTAGATCTTTTATTATTTCAATTAAAAATTAATTTATTTTTCCTTTATTTTACAAAGTCTGAACTGCAACTGATTAAAATTGGAAAATATTGTTCAAAAATATAAAATATGTTTTTCAAATAATTATTCTTCACAAATAGTTTGAGATTCCTTTCTCCAGTCATGAGATAATGAGTTGAATGTGGCCTTGGAAATGAGAGATGTTAAACATAAGACTTAATCTTTCTAGGTTTCGATTTCCTGGTTCTCAAAATGCAGTGATAGAGCAAAATCTGGGGTCAAACTGGCCACTAGATAAGGGACACAGAGGTTTTGTTTGTGTGTCAACAAAAATGAATTGGGATGGTTTCAGTCAGGGAGTGTGCTCACCAATTAGGACTCAGATTTCTCCACTTCCTGCCATGTCACAGTAGGATGTGTTTATATTACACCTGCGATGCTAAAGATGTGTGAGTTTGTGACCTCGAGACGAGACTATGACTGGCAAGTTTCCTTCCAGTTCTATGATTCTGATATTATGGAATAGGAATTAAAGTCATATGTTTTTGTTATTGTTACTATTTTTCTTTGAGAATATGACCCCACAGAGTAGCTATAGTTAACTTTTCTAAACTAAAGCCCTGGATAAGGTTGGGCTTTGAGAAGTCAATACTCAAGTCATCCTCCCGAGTTAAAAAGAGCATTTCCATCTGTATATATTTTACATGTAGAGGTTCCATGTAAAGTTTCATTTGATAAAAGGGGTTCATAGAAATAACTTTTTCAATAAAATTGCTCTAAATGTTTGAATCCAGTACAGTTTTAACTTGATTATATTGCATATGTGCACTTGGTCTGCTATGCTTGGCACACATCAGTGCTGGGCATAGAAAAAACACCAGCCCAATTCATTCCTATTTTACTTGAAGGGGTTGACCACAAAGTCAGCCAAGCCACTCTTTTTGCAAGATTTCCCCCTAAATATAAGTGCACACCAATAAGGGAGGGTAATGGCACCATCTGAAAGATGGAAGAAGTAGCAGGGACTGCACTCATACATTATTTTACAGTCAATGCTAGTTGGCCATGCATATAATTCAACACAAATCATGATTAATAAGCAAATGAATGGGATGGGTGCTAGAAATTATCGCTGCCCATGTACATCATACAAAATTAAATCTGATTACCTTTTGAAAGCAGGCATTATTGTCTCTTATTTCTTAATAAAAACTATGTATTTATATTTTTATCTAAATCTCTTGTTTTTAACAGAGAGCTGATATAACCACAGTTTTTCCCTCTACAGAGTTCCAGCTCTATGGCAAGCTGAGTTCTGTGTACACAGGAAATTAAATTAAATTCAGCAAATGAATGAAATTAAAATTAGGAGAAAAAAGGAAGGGAAAAAGGATGAGTTGGGGAGAACAGATAGATAAATTTTGCTAAACTTGTATATTTCCTTTCTGATTTTACTCACAGATGTTTTCATTATGAGCTTTGATGAGTCACTGTGACAAATTATGGTGTGTGACATCGTCAGCCTAAGATACTGCTTTGATCATGGCAAATACACAATATATATTGGAGCACTGGTTCTATTTTTAAAATTTGCTTACTATTTGATGACACTAAACTCTGCAATTTACATGCCATATTGCACTTAAGTATAACATGATACTATTATTTTAGATATTATTTTTATTAATCTATATATATATAAATTAAATCATAATAAACTTTAAAAATTTGCCATTGGTCACGAAGCTACTGTGTAATTACACTGTTAATCTCAGCTAGTCTCTTTCTATCCTACGTTTATCTCCAGGGTATGCCTGGAGCCATAGAGTGACTGTGTTTCCACACTAGGGTTCTGAACTTCTCTTCTGTCCAGGCATGTACAAGCTGTTCAGTCTTGTTTATATGAAATGTACAGATTAATAGTTTGTGCTTGCTTTCTGTTATGTATGTAATCTTAATTTCTGTTACTGAACTTGATCATGTAGACTTGTTTTGGCTACATGACCCAAAAGGTGTAAAACCTCTCCCTGGATGAAACTTGCTTTCCTGAGACCAAGGCATTTTGTGTGTGCCGTGGCTCACTATTCATTGTCAAAGCATATTCTGTGTGACTAATGAAGACATTTGGAAGCTGTACCTAGATGTCTTGGACTTCCCTAGGGATTGCTTGTGATCGCTTTCTCCTGCTGATCATCCTTTACCTTTAATAAAGCATTATTTAAGTATACTTTGTGGAGTCGTATGAGTCTTTTTAATATTCCAGAAAATCATAATTGATACAGTTGACATTGAAAGGTCCCCCTAATTCAAGTGAAATGACTACAACTTTGCTCAGGAGGAAAGAAGACGAGAAAAGGAGAATAAGAAATCTTTGGTTACAAAGCTGACTGCTGAGCCAGTCCCAGTCTGAGATTAAACAAGCTCTGAGATCATTCACTGTAAAGATTTTTCAATTGAATTTAGAGGTAATAGATCCAGAGCCAGGGGATAGCTAAATGGATAAGGAACAAGACAGTAAATATAAAACCACTTCCAGAGAAATTAGAAGTGCAGGATAAAGTTGCAACTGATTATTGCGTGTCTAGGAATGGAGAAATGATCCCAATGAAAGGTAGAAAGGTGGCAAGCACTTATTTAACCCATCATTCTGAAATAATTGTAGAATTGAAATTTCCAAGCAGGAAACTACCGAAACTAGGAGATATCTTATCAGGAAATTGACTAATTTCATGGGCAAATACAAGCAGCACCCAAAGGGACCTTAATGACAATAGCTTTTATGTAGTAACAAAGTTTGCAATTTTATTGCCTCTGGACACAATGGGTAGGATGCGACATTTGGTTCCAAATGATCATGGCCTTGATGAATTCAAGAACTTGATACACAACAATTGAATCTATAAGACCCTCTGTTAGTATCTGTCGTTACCATTATGCTTGTGTATGCAAATTCTCCTAATCTTACCCCTAATTTGTTAATCTGGATTAAAGAAGAAATTCAAGAGTTCTTAAGCATGAAAAGAAATTTTCCTCATCCTATTCCATTTTGATTTCAAAATGGAATACTCCACTGAGGATGTTAATATGTTGAGACTATAAGCCACATTGAATTGGTTAATATTGTTATAACAATGGGAACTCCTCTCGTATGATGTGAGCTTCAAATGTAACCTTGTTATGAAAGGGAAACTACATGAAGGAGCACGTCATGGTATTGTTTGTAACTGCAGTTACTAAACTGCAGTTTAGTGCAGGACTGACCCATGTGCAAAAGACTCAAGTTATTCAGAAGAAAGGAAATAACATATTTGAAAGGTAAATAATATATTAGGAAAAGTGAAGTCTTTAGATGGTTAATAAAGACAATGAAAAGGGGGAATATGAATAGGCTGCCTTCTAAGGTCATTGATGAACGACGGTCCCAGACTGGGCGAACTCCTCAGACATTAAAGGAGCTATGGCATAGCAACCCAATTTATCCTAGCCTTAATGAATCAAAGAAATCTGAAGGAAATGTGCAAATAAATCCACAATTCCTTTAAAACCAGATGGTATAAAGTGAAGAAAAAGGCTTCAGTTCTGAGGGGCCATGACCAAGGTCTTGGCAAAATCCCCCACTGGGAACTTAGGGCCTTCACATTTGTGGGGGTTAAATTGTCTAAAGCTGATGGAAGAACTTTATTGTGTTTGTTAAACAATGGTGCACAAGGTACTATGATGAATAAACCATTTAATAAAAATTAAATATCAATATGATTATGTCATGGAATTATAGCAGTATTACTGTAAAAAATTTAAAAGCAAAGTTATGAGCCTATATGAAAATTTGTGAAAAGAAGTTATGTGTGACAGTTGCATCACCACTTGCTGAATATCTTATTTGTATGGATGTAAAATTTGAATGAGATTTCTTCCCTTATCCAAGCTGTTATGAAAATGAATGTGGGTAAATCTGGTTTTTGTTCCGGTTTTTAATCGCACATGCTAGAAGAGAACTACCTAAAAGAACTCAACTGGTTCATTTGAAACATCTGGGATTAGCAAGAGATTTCAGTCCTAATTGCAGATATATGAAGTGCAGTTGAACTAGTGTCTACAAAGTCTGTGTTTAGTATTCTCACATGAAAACTGGAAGAAAACTGGTGGGTCTTAGAGGTTAACAGTGTATTATATAGGCTTCTACAAAGTGGTGCCTTCGATAGCATCTGCTGTGCCAGATGGGAATTAACAATTCAAACCATATAACAAGCTAAAGAAAGTGATCTATTCAGCTAATTCTTTCTTTACAATTACTATTTTGGAGAAAAGTCAGCACCAGTTTCCCTTAAGTAGGATGAACACCACGTTTACTATTATTCCACAAGGATATTTAGAATTTTTTGCTTAGTGTACAGTTTAGTGAGAAGACTTAGATTCAATGCAATTGAAAAGCACTGTCAATCATTATATTGATGATATAATCAATATGTGATATAATGTTTGGATCTAAAATCAATCTAAAACTGAACAACTGTTCTGTATAATTATATAACTATCATTGGGGGTGAATGAAGAATCCTCCTAAAAAATAAAAAATAAAAACTACAAGTGTCAGCACAAAGAAGAAATTCCTAAGAATAGCTTGACTGGAGCCACTAGTGACTTCCATCAAAACAAACAAAATTAAATTGTTTTACTTGCTAGGTCAAAAATTCAAATAAGAGTTTAGCTGCCATACTAAAATTTCTGACATTTAAGGATTCTGCTAGCCTCTATTTAGAAAGTCACACAGAAAAAAAAAAAAATGAATTACATAGCGTTCTGAATAGCAACAGTCTTTATTGGAACTCTGAAAAGTCATTGCTCACTCAAGCACATTGAGGGCTTAAAATACCCATGCTCAGATGACATTAACAGTGTTGGCACTTACTGCTCACTGGCATGTATCACCTGTCAGTGACCACTGGGATTTTAAACTATTAAGGTGCCTAAAACGTCTACCAGTTATATTCTCTTCAAGAGATAGTTTTGGCTTATTATTGACTGAAATTGCATTTACTACATAAGCAAAAAAATTTTTGAAGCTTTAAATATTGAGGGCAATTGATACAGTTTGGCTCTTGTCACTACCCAAATCTTATTTTGAATTGTAGCTCCCATATTTCCCACATGTACTGGAAGGGACCCGTTGGGAGGTAATTGAATCATGGGGGTGGGTCTTTCCCATGCTTTTTTTGTGATAGTGAATAAATCTTGTAAGATATGATGGCTTTATAAATGAGAGTTCCCCTGCACATGTACTCTTGCCAGCAACTATGTAAGACATATCTTGCTTCCTCTTCACCCTCTGCCATGATTGTCAGGCCTCCCCAGCCATGTGGAACTGCAAGTCCGTTAAACCTCTTTCCTTTATAAATTACCCTATCTCAGGTATGTCTTTATTAGCAGTGTGAGAACAGACTAATAGAGCAATAAAAAAGTTTTTTTCCCATGTACAGGACAGAGAACTCAGAAATAAGCCTGCACACCTACAACTATCTGATCTTTGACAAACCTTGACAAAAACAAGCAATGGGGATAGGTTTCCGTATTTAATACATGGTGCTGGGAGAACTGACTAGCCATATGCAGAAGACTAAAACTGGACCCCTTCCTTATATCGTATACAAAAATTAACTCAAGATGGATTCAAGACTTAAATGTAAAACCCAAAACTATAAAAACCCTGGAAGACAAACCAGACAATACCATTCTGGACATAGGAATGGGCAAAGATTTCATGATCAGATGCCAAAAGCAATTGCAACCTAAGCAGAAATTGACAAATGGGATCTAATTAAAACAAACAGCTTCTGCACAGCAAAGAAAACTACCAACAGAGTGAACAGACCACCTAAAAAACGGGAAATTTTTGCAAACTATGTATCTAACAAAGGACAAAAATTCAGCATCTATAAGGAACTTAAACAAATTTACAAGAAAAAAAATGAACAACCCCATTACAAAGTAGGCAAAGGAATGTAAATATACCCAAAGGAATGTAAATCATTCTATTATAAAGACACATGCACATGTATGTTCATTGCAGCACTATACACAACAGCAAAGATATGGAATCAACCTAAATGCTCAGCAGTGATAGATGGGATAAAGACAATGTGGTACATATATGCCAATGGAATAATATGCAGCTATAAAGAAGACTGAGATCATGTCCTTCGCAGGAACATTGATGGAGCTGGAGGTCATTATCCTTAGCAAACTAATGCAGGAATAGAAAACAAAATACCACATGTTCTCACTTGTAAGTGGGAGCAAAATGATAAGAACACATGGACAATACACACTGAGACCTATCAAAGGGTGGCAGGTGGGAAGAGGGAGAGGATCAGGAACAATAACTAATAGATACTAGGCTTAATACCTGGGCGATGAAATAATCTGTACAACAAACCCCCACAACACAAGTTTATCTATATAACAAACCTTCACATGTACCCCTGAACTTAGAAAAAAAAAGTTAAAAACAAAGGTTTTTCTTCATTAAATGGGAAGAGTAAAATATGGACCATGTAACAGAGGTAACCATATGAGATATCCATTGCATACATGAATAGTAACTGTGCTTTTAAGGGATGCCTTTAATCCTTCTGATTTACCTAATCCTACAAGTGAGTGGGAACCCACATTTGGCCAATTACTGGAGGATGAAAAAAAAGAGTTAGCATGGTTTTCTGATGGTAGCTCATGGATAGAGGGTCAACATTTTAGTTGGAAGTCAGCTGTATTACAACTGATTTATGGCTATATTCTGACTGAAAAAGGAAAAGATAAATTTAAGCAGTATGAGGTACTAAGAACACTAAGGGTATTGGAAGAACTAGATAGTGAGAAGAAGAAGAAACAGAAGGAGAAGGAGGAGGAGGAGGAAGAAGAGGAAGAGGAGAGCCTGAAGAGGAAGATGTAGTTAAGAATTATGCTGATTACTGGGACATAGCCAAAGGACTAGTAATACGTTCTGAAAAAAAGCCTTATATAATTAGATAATAAGAAAACCTCATGTGATGTACTATGTTTTGAAAAGCATTATGAACATGCAAAAGGAGAGTTAAAGAAGATAATATGTTATGCTTGTCAGAAAAACCTTCCCAAATTTGAAGGAGAACTGGAACCAACAAGTGGGTGCCATCATCCATTCTTCGGAAAGGATCACGGAGTGACATCAAAGACTGAAGGGTGATGTGATGTGGGCTTGCATACCCAGAGAATCCAGACCTGCGCCTAGGTAGTAAGTGAATTACATTGGCTTTATGCCTGTGGAGGGGTGCAGATGGGTTTTTACTGGGATAGATATTTATTCTGAATTTAGATTTGCATCCCCTCTAATGGTGACAAATGTTTTAAACATGATCAAACTAAAGCAGAAAATATCGTTCCTTTTGAACCTCCAGGTTAGATATCATCTGATTAAGAAATTCATTTTCCTGCACATGCCAGGATGTATATAATATTTTGTTGTCCAAAGCAAGTATACAGTGAATTTATCATCTGCTTCATCACTCACAAAGTGCCCACTTACCATATTGCAGGGCTGACAAAGGATAAAGAGTCGTTTGCACAATTTCAATAACACGTAATGAAACAATATGCCTGGTATTACAAGTGAGTCTTGTGTGAATATATATTGAAGAGTCCTGTGCATTCTTTCAATAACCAGAAAAGACACAAGTAAAACGGATAATAAGTGGAATTTCCAGGATTTGAAACTAAACTTTTTATAATTCAGAGCAATTAACCACTACCAGATGTACTTCTAAACTGAAATGTGCATATCAGTAGAAAGGAATTTACTACTGATCCTTAGATACACTTCTAAACTGAAATGTGCGTATCAGTAGAAAGGAATGCTGATCCTTCACTGAGAACAGATATGGTGGCTGGAAAGATAGAGTATAAGCACCTGAGAACCTGGAATGAGGAGAGGTCCTCTGAATGGGAGAAAGGCACAGATCAGAAAGATAATAAATAGAACTTATGTGTATCCCATGGTTTCCCTTAGAGCTGCCTTGTTTTGAGTCATGGCAGAACCCTATTTTAATATTGATTCATTTCAGTGGTTGGAACCTACTTTTAAAATGCCCTATTCTGTATTTATTAGATTTTTTGGGCTATAATTTTATTAGATATTCATGAGTTAGATATTCATGATGTTTTAAAATCAGAAAAGGCAATTTTTAACTCCTTTATAAATTTTTGAAATCTATGATAGTGGAAATGAAAAAGAATTACTTTAATATAGAATTCAAACAGGTTTTAGAACAAAATGTCTCAGGATTGTATTAGAGGTAACTAAAAACTGTGCCCACCCACATTCATCACATTTGAGCCATCCCTGAATTTTAGCCTCATAGTTTTTCAATGGGAGATTTTTAAAAAAGTAATTGATATAATATTGTTGAATTATGAGGTCATTATATAATGAGGCATTATATAATAACAGAGAAAATTATTATCATAAATCATGAAACTATAGCAGACTTTGGATTTATATAGTGCAAACAAAAAACTTTGAGTCTGTTTTTCAGAAGCCCAACTACAAAGACATTTTTAAATGGAAAATATTATTTTCTATCCATGTGGCCTTATATGGATTTATTTTGACATTGGACACCTCTTTTATTTGGCATTAGATACTTTTAAAAAATGTACAATTATTGCATAGCTACTATGTGTTAGGTGCTAATCCAACTTGAATATATGTTTTATACCTTTGCCTCATCTAATCCTTATAAAATCTCTTCGAGTTGGATATTATTTGAGATTTTAGGTGTGAGTGGGGTCTGGTAGGGTTGACAAAAAGAGTGTTGATGAATGTATTGGGATTTAAAAGTGAGGAAAAAAAACAACCAAGATTACTTGTGGCATTTTTTAAAATTAGGTGCAAAATTGCTTCATTTGTTAGGCTACTAAATAAAACACACGTGTAAATTGCATTTTCAACTTGTATATGTCATGTAGCTATGACATAAAACTATATGTTTACCTCTGTGTTATATAATTCCCTACTTGGAGCTTTCAATTAATTTATTACCCAACATTTCTTTCTTGTCAGTGTTCCATATTGACCTATTCAAAATGGATTGATCGATGTCCTTCTTTTTTTTTATAATGAGTCCCTGAGCCAAAAATCAGATAAGCTCTGTAAAGTTCGCTGCTTCTACAGACTATGACTTTTCTTGCTGAAAAGGCAAAGAATGCAAGGGCCTTCCTCCAAGGTCTTTGGCTCTCATGTGATAAACCTTGATAAACTAAAGGGCACAAGAGGTGAGAAGCATTGTGTTTACTTTCTGGGCCATCGGCTTGTCGGTGCTGTTATGGAAAGCATTCAGACTCTCTTGTGTTGGGCTATTGGGCTGCTGTTAAAAATATACACATAGTGAATAATGCCAAAACACAAGCAAAACTGAAAGGACTGACAGCTATAATATGAATCCTTTTTAGCATTTCCCACAGGAAAACTTTTCAGGTGGAGGGTGGTGATGGCTCTTTCCGTGCTGGCTATTTTGTTCTGTCAGGATTCATAAGATGTTGAATTAATTAACATTTGAAAGTACATTTTTACTCTCAGGAAGAACTTTAACCATGCGGTTTTAACAACTACTCAATGTTAACCTTTTATTAAAATGCTGTCCTAGATTCGGGTTTTGAACTGAAAAGTGGTTTAAGGACTCAGGTACAAGGAATGCTACTCCAGGAGGAAGAGTCCAAGAAAGGAGACTTTGACCTTCTAAAAAACTCTGCATTTTTCAGCTGCATACTAGAAGTCTACCAGGTTGGCATAAGACTCTTGTCTTCGTGATAAAAAAAATACTTGGCATCAGTTTTCCATGTGATTGATTAAGTACATAGTATTTATTTGTGTGGTGTTCTATGCAAAGTTAGAAACTCATGCTGCTCTGGGAATAGGCTCTTATTTTGACCAATGCCATAAGCAGTCTGTAGGAAGAGCTAAGAGGTGAAATGATAAAGGCCGAATGTAAAAGCTTAGAAGATTTTCACCAATGACAAATGCTGCTCCAAAGAGTCGAAAACTAGCTGTCAGAAAACCTCTCCTGATACTGAACCAAAGTTTACTTCCTCATAACTCCCACAACAGGTATTAGTTCACCTGCCAGGACCACAGATGACTAATCTAGTCTTTCCACATGACAGTTTTTCAAATATTTGAAGGCAAAACTTCTATCTCCCATGATCCTTCTCTTAAGGGAAAATACCTCCACATCCCTTAAGAATTAAAAAAAGGTCTTCAGAGAACATGATTTTGAATTCCCTCACCATCCCATCCATCCTCTTCTGGATAATTTATTTATAAATTTCTTCAACTGTTTTGGTTTCAGAATAGAGGTCAATGTTGCTGGCTTAATCTTATTTCTCTACTGCAGATGTGTTCCTTTAAACAAGAGGTTTAGTTTACTTAAAACTGAAATTCATTCCTGAAAGTGGTACCATACAGTGGCAACATGCAGTCTCATGAATGGTGAGAGTCCTTTGAAAGTCTTTCACATGAGCTTCATGCTCACTGGCTCAGGTATGCTCGCATGTACCCCACCAGTGGGAAGGAATTTGGGCATTCATTCATGTCCATTCCCCGCAAACACACACTTAAACATGTTGCAATCAGAATAAGACTGGATTCCACAAGGAAGGTGTAGTTAATACACAATATGCAGAGTTAATACTCTTCTCTACACCCTCCCTTGCTCTCTCTCCTTGCTTATGTCCTCCCCCTTTTCTCCTTTGTCCATCACATCCTGGCCATGGGATTTCCTCCTTATTTTACTATTTGCCTTATTGTGACTCATTACCACCACTTCATAACTGACAGAAGCATCCAGACATTTCATCTCCCAGGATTCAGAAGTTGAGGCTGAATAGTTGGCTATTATCTTGAAAATGTTGACACCTATTATCTTAAATCCTGATGTTGTTCGACATAATTATTGTGTGTGATTAAAAATAACACATCAGTGCTTTCTTTTTTTTTTTTTTTTTACTCTTTACTGGTGTTCTTAGTTTTTCCAAACCAATATGGTTCATTCTCACCTCTCTGTATCTACCCCATCTTGCTCCCAAAAATAAATACACACCTTATAAGATGAACAGACATTTAAACAAAGAACCATAACCGCAGTTTCTTTGGATGCCATTTGGTCACAGAGGATTCCAAGCCAACAGGTGGGTATATCAAGCTACTGACCAGTAGGGTTCTCCTGCATTCTTTTACTATTTCTACGTATTCTTCTACAAAGGAATAGGTAAAACACTGAAAAGCAACATGACAAGCCCACTCTATCACTTGAAAGTTGATGGGAGACAATTCTTTCCAAGTTGAGTGAACTGAGGGCCTGTCCAAGGGTCTCTCTGGGGAGGCCTTCTCGTCCCAACTCCCCATCCCATAGTCATTCCACACTCCAAAGCATATTTCCTTTACCGGAAGCAGCACACATCCATCCCTCAAGTGCATTTCTCCAATTCAAGGAGAGAAAGGAAGGAAGCAATGAAGTTTCCTTACATCGTGTGTAGAAAACAGTGGTGTGTGAGTGTGGTGGTGGTGGTGTACGTGTGTGCATGGGGACAGATAGATGTCAAACAGATGAAGTACGGAGCTGAGCATACTGCCTTCCAAACAACTGATCTGGGTTTGGCTCCTGGCTATTACACCATTACATGTTAGGGCTTGAGAGGGTCAAGCTCTTGAGTGTTGAATCAAATGGATGAGAAGCAAATTATCATCACTGTTGCTGATCAAGCTGAATTGGAGAATGTGTCTTGAACATTGGTCACAGTTGAGTTTCCTGACATGTCCAGATATGATGGACTGATTAGCAGATAAGGTCTGTGTCCTTAGAGACCAGCCTCTCACAGTATGACAGAGAATCTCAAAGGGGCTGGGGCATGTAAGCTGACTCTTTTCTCTGGTGTCACCAACCAGAAAAGTCATTTCTCATTCCATGGGGAGAAATGGAAAGGGAGTGAAATGAAAGAGAACAGAGGTGTTTCTCCCATTCATTACCCTCTAAGGAACTAGAATTTTCCTCCCCTTGAAGAAAACATGAGAAATAGAGGGTAAGCATTCCTTTCTGACATGAATAGCTGCACAAAACTTTTTAGTTTTAAAATTACTTTCTTATACTCTGACATATAAATAAATCCTATCAGTGGTGTTTAAACTGTAGGGCAGATAAGAATTATTTTGAGCTTTAAAAAAAGTAGATTCCCTAGGTCACACTACGTTTTCTTTTTAAACAAACATGTGTTGGGGCTTAACCCTTAAGAATTACTACTGCATGTAAGCCAATTTTGCTCTATCGTTAACAGTATGTACTGAGCCCATAAATGCTGCCCTGTGGAATCACAGAGAAAGGTTTATCTGACCATGGGGTTTGACTTCTGGTGCTCAGAATGCTCACTTAGTTACATTTGGGTGTATAATTAAACCTAAAAAATAACAAGGAAACTTTAAATACAAAGACCACCTTACAAGTCAGCAAAAATATTTACTGTTACAGTACTAAGTAAGTGCAAGAAATTAAGGGATGGTTCTCTAATCAGGAACTGCTTCTGCTTAAAATATTATTATATCAATATGTTCTTTTTCTTTAAAAATGAGAATTATAGTTACCTTAGAGAAGCATTCTCTAATAAAAATTATTGTGATGATAGAAATATATCTATGCTACCCAATACGGGCACCAACATGTAGCTATGGAGTACTTGAATGCACATAACACAACTACAGAACTGAATCTTTAATTTAATTACTTTTAATTTAAATATACGTAGCCATGTTTGACTACTGTGTGTCGTATTGAGTAGCACATCCTTAGCATATGTTTTTAAAACTGTGGGTTGAAATAAACTAACGGACTCTGAAAACAATTTAATGTTTTATGTCAGCATTTAAATAAACGACCTCAAGGAGTATAGATATTGTGAAAGTTCCTCACACATAGCAAATATGTTATTTTATAAAGTTTACTTATGAGGAAAGAGAAAAATGATTACCTGGTCATAATACAAAATGTGTTTTGTGTGAATTGTTGACTTTTGCTCTATGGAGTGTATAAAATAATAAGTATATTTAGGGGAAGGAACCAAAGAAGAAACACACCTGCAAACTGCGATGTTTTTTTTTGTTGCTTGCACTGACAGAAAAGCCAGTGAGAACTATGTGATGATAGCTCCACCTTGAGGTTTGATGATAATATTTCCAGTAGGGAAAGGATGAAAGGAAACACATGAGAAGAAACATTAATTTTCTCATAATGTTTATAACACTACACTTTTGTTTCTACAGTTCGCATTTAAAAGCCCACTGATTCTGGCCTTCCAGAACCTGAATTGCCCACCTCAAACATAGGTTCTAACTAGAAACTTAAGTGGATATGTTAGTGGACAGAGCCTGCCATGTGATACTCCTGCCAATCTTCTGGTCGAGGTTTTGATGTGCAACTTCGAAGAGTGACCCTCCGCAAAAAAAATCTCACTGGGCTTTACCCCATAGAAAGCTGAAAGGTGGCCTTCGAAGTGGGTATTAATGCAGGACCACTAACATTTTATGTCTCATTGTATGAAGAGAGTATAATTATTAAGTCCTTAAAACCTATTAATTACCATATAGATATAGAAATATGTCAACTCCGTATTCTGAAAATGGATTATATCATGGTTGGCTAATAGAATTTTTTTTTTAAATTATGTAATTTCATTAGAGAAGAGGGGAAGAGGAAGTGGTTTGTTGATGAAAAAGAAGGGATTTTATACCAAAGGGAAATTATGATTCTTTCTTGATGTTTAATTTGCATCCAATAAAATTAATTCTTCTTAAGTGTTTAGTTAGATAAGTTTTGATAATTGTATCAAAACATGTAACTACCAGCCAAAACAAGATAATGGGCATTTCTATAAACCCAGAAAGTTCCATTTTACCCCTGTTAATGGAACCCAGAAAGTTCCATTCTACCCCTTCCTTGCTGTGGGATATTACTGTACTCTTTTCCAGCATTGGAGGGTAGCTTGTCTGTTCCCAAACATCAAATAAATGGAACTATGTCCTATTTATTCTAATGTGTCTGGGTTCTTTGGCTCAGTAAGATGTTTTTGTAATTTATCCTTGTTGTCCCATATGTTACTAACTTATTCTTTTTTATTGCTGAGTACTATTCCATTCTATAGATAGGCTGCCATTTGTTTATATATTTTCTCTTTCTGGATATTTGGATCATTTCCAATTTGGAGCTATTGTGAAAAATAAGGCTGCTTTGAACACTCTTGTAAAATTTTTGTGGCTATGTATTTTTACTTTTCTCAGATAAATACATGGAAGTGGAATTTCTGAGTCATATGATAAACACATATTCAACTTTTTGAGAAACTGCCAAAAAGCTGGCCACAAGAAAAACTCCAAGGCCAGATTAATTCTATCAAACATTTGCAGGAGTTTTTTTACGCATTCAGGATGCCAGTGATTTGTAAGATATGTGCACGCACGCATGCACACACGCACATACACACGTGTGTATATATGTAAGATATCCTAGACATATATCTTATATGTATTCTTTGATAAGTACACTTTTTTGCAAAAGATTATATTCAATACTATTTCGCAGCCTATAGTTTGTCTATTCATTCTCCTATTTCTGCCTTTTGAAAGCAGACTTTAAAATTTTGATGATATATGATTTTTTTTTCTCTTTTATGTAAGATGTAAGATTGCTGTTATTACTTGCCTAAATGTTTGGTAGAATTCCCGGGTAAAGACATCTTAGGGGAGGTTGTTGATTACAGATTCAATTTCTTAAAGATATTGGAATATTCCCATTTTCTATTTCCTCTTCCATCAGTTTTGGTAATTTGTGTTTTTCGAGGAATTTGGCCATTTCATTGAAGTTGCTAAATTTATTGGCATAATGTTTTTGATACGTTATTTTTATTTTAAATTCTATCATTATTGTAGTTTAATTTCCTTGTTTTCTTTGATCCTTAGGCTATTTAGTAATGTGTTATTTAGTTTCAAATATTTTGGAATTTTATTCTTAGCTCTCCTATCCTTTAGGCTCACTTTAATATGAAGTCAGAGACAGCCCCCAGATGAGAGGGTCACGACATACCGTGAGTGTCTAGAGATGTTAGCTCTTTCCCTTGACATTGACTGTTTTTTTAGGCTAATGGGGATAAATATTATGAAGGTTTGATGCAGCATAGCAGCTTATCACCAACCTGTCCAAGTGGCTTTCCTGGACAGATTGGTAATAAGCTGGTATGCTGCATCAAACCTTTATAATATTTATCCCAATTAAAGACAAGTCACAGGGACAACTGCATAGCCTTTAGCCCAGAGACTTTACTCTAAATGCCACGAATGTAAGCCTTTTTTAAAACCTTGTTGGAAGTGCCTTTATCATATGACTTGTTGAAAGAGTATTCGTGACTTTTTAAACACAAATACTGCAGTAAAACTCCAGGAAATAGACCTTTCACACTACTTTTCCCTAATGAAGACATCTTATGAAAACTTCCTAGGCTTCTGTGCCAATGGATAATCTAAAATTAAATCTTTTGGGCTCTCCAGAAGCAGAAAGCATCATGAAGGAGAAAAAAAATTTCTAGAAATTCAAGTCAAGCAGCGGACTGCTGGGCATAGACAACTTTCATCAAAACTTTTAAATCAAAAATCCTGAAAGCCAGGAGCCACTTACTGCCATACTCTTTTTGTCTCTTTCATCTTCTTCTAATGACTCTTCCTCTCCTGGTTAACTTGAAAGATTTTTGATTGCTAAAATGAGATTTCCAAAGTACATCTCCAACATTGTTACTCAAGGTAAATTAACAGGATAAACCAAGTGTTACGCAAACTTATTGATTCCAAACCTTTTTTCTCTACAGATTCATGGAAGATGGGATATGTTCACTTGGACTATTGAATTTTGGTCATAATCTTGGCTAGGAAAAAGGATGAAAAAATATATAAACAGTACCCGTAAAAGAACTGGAGTGACAATACTAATACCAGACAAACTTGAAAGCAACAACAAAAAGTTACTAGTGAGAGTGAAAGAGACATTTTATAATGATAAAAAGTCAATCAATCAGGAAGATATTATTAATATATCAGTTATAAACATATACACACCTAAACACGAGCTCAAAATACCCAAAGCAAAAACTCATAGAATTTAAGGAAGAAATATGTAATTCAAGCATATAAGTTGGGGACTTCAATACCACAATTTCAATGATGAATAGAACAAGTAGACGAAGGTTTGCAAAGTTTTAGAAGACATGAGTAACATTATATTAACAACAAACTAGACCTAGCATGCATTTCTAATACACTCCACTCAAAGCAACTGAGTCCACATTCTTCTCAATAGTACAAGGAACATTTTTGAAGACAGATTAAATACTAATCAATAAAATAAGCTTTAATAAATTTAAAAGGATTGCAAAGACACAAAAGGCATAATTCAATAACAAAACAATGAAATTAGAAATAACAAAAGAGAATTATGGAGATCTACAAACATGTAGAAATTAAACAAGTTACTCCTAAATAAACAATGAGTCAAAGAAAAAATGATGAGAGAGATTAGAAGACACTTTGAGATGAATGGAATTGAAAACACTACATGAAAATACATCGGATGCAGTTAGAGCATTCCATACAGGGAAATTTATAGCTGTAAACACCTATGTTAAAAAACAAAACTCATCTCAAATCTATAAACTAAACTTCTACATGAGAAACAAGAATAAAAAGAGCAACCTGAATTTAGAATAAGCAGAACAAAGGAAATAATAAAATATGAATGGAAATAAATGAGACAGAATAGAAAAACCTATTTCTATTTCAGAATATTCTATTTCAGAATAGAAAATAAAAAAAAATTGATATCTACAATACCAAAAGTCAGTTCTCCAAAAAGATCAAAATTAATAAAATTTTATCTATAGTGACAAAGAAAAAAGTCTTGAGTAGTAAAATCAGAAATGAAAGATGGTATATCATTACCAATTATAGAGAAATAAAAAGAATTATAAAACTACGAACAAGAGAATGTCAACAATTTTAGGTAACCTATATAAAATGCAAAGGTTCCTAGAAAATTTCAAGCTACCAAAAGTGTTTGAAGATATGAATAACTTGAATAGACCTATAGCAAGTAAAAAGATTTAGCTGGTAATTTTAATGCTTCCAACAAAGAAAAGCTGAGGCCTGATAGCTCTCCTGCAAATTCTAGCAAAATCTTTTAAAAAGTAATTAATTTGAATTCTTCTCAATTCTTCCATAAGGTAGAAGAGGAGGACACATTTTCAAATTCATTCTACCGGGCCAGTATTACTCAGATACCAATGCTAAGCAAAGACATCACCAAAAAAGAAAACTAAAGACCAACACGTGTTATGAATATGGCCCCCAAAATCAAAACACTACTAGAAAATGAAACCAGCAACATATAAAAATAATTCTACACTTTATTCATTCATAATAAAAACTCTCAATGAACAAGAACTAGAACAGAGCATTCTCAAAGGACATTTAAAAACCAATAGCTAACCTCACAGTTAATAGTGAAAACTAAAGCCTTCCTATCTAAGATGGGAATTGAAGCAAGAATGTGCACTTTTATTACTTCTATTGAATAATTTCTAGAGGCTTTAGCCATGTAAATAAGGAAAATGAAATAAAAGACATGCTGAACACAGAAGTAAAACGATCTTTAGTTTTACTAAAGTGCAGACCAGTTGATCGTCTATTGACGACATCCTAAGGAATTTATGAAAGAGCTATTGGAAGTAATAGTGAGTTTAGTAAGGCCCCCTTAGCAGTCATAATACAAAAAAATCAGTTGTATTCCTATATATTAACAACAAACGTTAGCAATAGTAATGAAAATACCATTTCAACAGCCTCGAAAGAAAACTGATATAGTTAGGGATAATCTATCAAATGTATGCAAGATCGATACCCTTAAATCTGCAAAATATTGCTGAGAGAAGTTAAATAACTACCTAAATAAAAATATATAACGTGTTTATAGGCCAGAAGCTTAGGTAATGTTAATGTGTCAATTCTCTCCAAATTGATCTATACCAAGCTTGTACAACCTGTGGTCCGCAGGCCACATGTGACCCAGGAGAGTTTTGAATGTGGCCCAACACAAACTCATAAACTTTCTTAAAATATTATGAGATTTTTTGCAATTTTTTTTAGCTCATCCGCTATTGTTAGTGCTAGCATATTTTACATGTGGCCCAAGACAAGTCTTCTCCCAATGTGGTCCAGGGAAGCCAAAAGATTGGACACTCCTGATCTATACAGTCAATGCAACTCCAATAAAAATCCCAGCAGGATTTCTTTGTAGAAGTTGACAAACTGATTCTATTTTTTTTTTAAATGGGGATACCTAAAAGAGACAAAACGATTTTTAAAAATAACAAAGTTGATAGCTTTCATTACCTGGTTTATCACTTATAATAATTAAGACAGTGTTATTGACAATAAGGTAGGCATATAGGTCAACTGAAAAGAATGTAAAGAAATAGATTCATACATTTATTGTTAACCAATTGTCTTTTTACAGACCCGCCAAGGATGCCATGTGGAACAGATATGAATGATTCAGCCAATCTCTTTCAAATTCTTGATCCACAAAATTGCGAACTAAGTAAATGGTTGTATAAACCATTAAGTTTTAGTGTAGTTTTTACTCAGCAATTGTAAACCAGAATTGATTTTTAAGTTCGTTTTGCTGTGTAATGCAAAAATTACTCTTCTCTGAGATCTCAGGGCCACAGTAAATTCTTGCTGATTCCCAAGTACCTTGGAGTGTGTATATGTGAGCTGTGTGTAAAATTGATAAGGGGCCAAGTTTCCTATCTGGACTTGGTATATTGCAGGACAAAAACTTAGGGGAGGAAGCAGGAGTGTCAACAGAGGCAGCCATGAGAATGAGATGTCCTTAAGAAATCACAGAACTTTTGGAATGAACTTAATTAACTTAATTCAATAAATTGTTATAGAGCTAATGCCCAATGTGCTGGAAGCCAGTACTATGACTTTGGGTTTTGGGTTGTTTTGTTTTGTTGTTGTTTTCATTTTTTTTTTTTTTGAAAAGAAAGTTCTATGTTGCAAGTCAACTCATAAGGAGACACGAGTGTCAAGCTCTAATCTGTCTCCCCATGCTGTTTTTAAGGCAAAAATTTTATTAGAAAAGAATTAGAGGAGCCAGGCACGGTGGCTCACGCCTGTAATCCTAGCGCTTCAGGAGGTTGGGGCAGGCGGATCATGAGGTCAGGAGTTCAAGACCAGCCTGACCAATATGGTGAAACTCCTTCTCTACTAAAAATACAAAAATTAGCTGGGCATGGTGGTACATGCCTGCAGTCCCAGCTACTCAGGAGGCTGAGGCAGAAGAATCGCTTGAACCCAGAAGGTGGAGGTTGCAGTGAACCAAGACTGCGCCAATGCACTCCAGCCTGGGTGACAGAGTGATACTCCATCTCAAAAAAAAAAAAAAAAAAAAAGAAAAGAAAAAAAGACAAGAATTAGAGGATGGATTAGAGGATGGATATTTGGATTAGCACGTGATTGGTGGAAGAAAGGGAGGATGTGGCCAAGTCCTTGGGCATGAGCACTTACCACTTCATGCAAATCCATGGGTCACGTGCACAATCAAGTTTGTTCTATGCAAACTCCAGTCAGCCATCTTAGTCTTCAACTGATTTCAGCCAGTTTTTTCTTGATCTCACAAGTAGAAAAGATATGAACCATTCAGCCAATCCCCTCCAAATTCTTGATCCACAAAATTGTGAACTAAGTAAATGGTTGTTTTAAGCCATTAAGTTTTAATGTAGTTTCAGCATCTTAGCAGGTTGTTTCTTTTCTTCTCTGCTATCTTGTCAACTCAAGAATTTCGGTGAGTTACTGGTTTCTTAGTCTTTGGGAGCATAGTTTGAGTTTCAGCGTCCAGAAAATTGTTTCTTTTCTTATCTGCTACCTTGTAAACCAAACAACTTAGTCATCGGTTCCTTAACTCCTAGGGGGCACGGTTTCAAAATTTTCTCGAAATCTTTGAACAGCCATAGTGGGGGCTGCTGATGTCTATCTTATGATGCTGTCATTGGTCCCCAATACTCCAACATTCACAGAACCCTGCGTCTGTTTCTCCCTAAAAGCTTTTCAGCTTACCCCCACCACTCACCAGCAAAAACTCTCTGTTCTAGGCCATGAGTTCAACTTGGGCATCCTGTGGTGTGTGTTTACTCACACCTGTGACTCTGACTTCACACATGCACTCACCCAGGGGTGGGACTGGTGGTCTACAAACTGTTTTCAGATCATTTCTCTATCCATTGCCCTCTGCAGCCTTTCTGATTAAAACTGTATTATCTTTTCAAGATATCTTTAAACTAAGTATGCTGCTAAGACATAGGAAACATTAAATTTGAGGACTTAGAGTGATCTAGAGAAAATTCAAAAATGGTCACACTTCTCATCATTGCTTGCATTTGCATAGCAATACACAATTTGTGCATCTTTTTGTGTATTCAGCATACTGAGCTGTCAGCAGCTTGGCTGACTGCTGCTCTGATGCCCCAGGATGCTGTGGGTGGTTGTTGTGTCCAGCCTAGTCTAGCGATGTTTCTGAATAATATAGCTCAAACAGCTCATCATGACAAGTGAGCCCTCTGCAATCTGACCCCAGCCTTCCTTTTCAAATCACTCCCATCAGTCTCTCCACCTTCATCAGGTTCTCACATTTTATGCTGTTCTGCCTGGACTAGTAAATAGTCTCCTAATTGATTGAGGAGAGATACAAGTAAGTAGAAGGCTCTGGAGTCTCATTTTGTTTTTTTTCAGTAGCAAGTCTGAGTTAACTCAATGAGAAAACAAGATGCTAACACAGGAATAGAAAACCAAACACAGGATGTTCTCACTCATAAGTGGGAGCTGAACAATGAGAACACATGGACACAGGGAGGGGAACATTACACACCGGGGCCTGTCTGTCGGGGGTGTTGGGAGAAGGGGAGGGAGAGCATTAGGACAAATACCTAATGCATGCTGGGCTTAAAACCTAGATAACGGGTTGATAGGTGCAGCAAACCACCCAGAACTTAAAGTAAAATTTAAAAAAAGAAAAAATTCCTAGGAAAAAAAAAAAAAGATGCTTCCAGAGACAGAGCTCTAGAGGGTCAGCCTTTCTTGCAGGCTATTTCACCGTCCAATAAACTCTTCTTGCTACTTAGCTGACTATGGTTAGCTGGACTCCCTTATTCTATAAAAATGTAGAGCAATGCAGGGCCTGGGTCCTACTATTGGAGACTTTGTCATGATGCTTTCAACTGTATTCCACTTAAGCCAGTCTCTCTGCAGGACAGTAAGAAGGCCAGAACTATAAATCATCCCACTGAATCTTATTTGCAACTACACCATGAGACTAGGTTGTATAAGTCCATGCCTTCTTTGTACCTCACTGAATCTTGCCATTTCTATGTCCCACTACACTCTGTTTTCCACCTCGCAACCAGAATTATGCTTTTAGAACATAAAATAGGTCATTCCATTCCTTTGCTCAAAGCCACCTAATGGCTTTCCATCTACCTCAGAATAAAATTCAAAGTGTTTATCATAACCAACCAGCCCTTTTGTGATCCCAACCTCAATCCCCTCCAGAGATACATCTCCGCTCTCATCTGGCCACCCTCCTCCTGGGTCACTCCACTCTGAGCCTTCTGAGCCTCCTGAGCCTCCCTGCAATACCTCCAGTACACGAGGTACACTCTTGCCTGCAAAGCTCTTCATCTGGTCTTCTCTGTGCCCTACTCTCTTATTTCCTTCTTAGATCAAATGCCACTTGTTTTCTAAAGGTCTTCGCTGACTCTTGTTTATAAAATGGAAAATGGTAATGCCTCTTCCATAACTCTGTTTCCTTGACATCTTAAACATGTGATAGCACCTATCACCAGCTTTCATGTCATATATATAATAATTTTTTTTTTTTTTTCTGAGTCGGAGTCTTGCTCTGTCACCCAGGCTGGAGTACAGTGGTGCGATCTCAGCTCACTGCAACTTCTGCCTCCTGGGTTCAAACAATTCTCCTGCCTCGGCCTCCCGAGTAGCTGGGATTACAGGCTCATGCCACCATGCCTGGCTAATTTTTGTATTTTTTTAGTAAAGACGGGGTTTCACCACATTGGCCAGGCTGGTCTCAAACTCCTGACCTTGTTATCCACCTGCCTTGGCCTCGGAAAGTGCTGGGATTACAGGCTTGAGCCACCACTCCTGGCCCGTCTTATGTATTTACTGATTTATTGTACATCTCCCCTACTATAATCTAAGCTTCATAAAAGCAGAGACACTATTTTGCTGACTATTATCAGTGGTTAATATGTAGTAAGGCTCAATCAATAAGCATTGTATTAATTGAATAAATGAATATTCTTCTAAACCTCTTGCCTTTCACTAAGGTATTTCCTTAGCCTAGAAAATCACCACTTCCCCACTTCAGTTTGCTAGACAAAGACCTATAAAACATTTCCATGACTGGGTCAAAGTCAATATGTAGATAGTATATTTCGATTTTCTAGGGCAACATTTATTGAAAATACATCATTTCTTTGTCTTTGAACATAAAATAGTACCTGACAAATTATGTGTCCTAAATTTTTGTCCTAAAAAAATACTATTACTTTACTTCTAAAGCCCCTTCTAACCTGTGTTCTTCATTGTGAATATTGAAAAGTGATCCAATTCATGTGGACCCCTAAAACAAAACCCCTATCCTAGCATGAGACTATAAGGGCTCTTCTTACATGATCCCACAGTAAGTAGCCTGTGATTCCTTCTAGAAGGACACTTACATTATAATTATAGGTTTATTTTTCTGACTTCCTAACTAAATTATGAGTCTTATATAGACAAAGTCCATATTCCATTCACCTTTTTGTTATCCGTGCCTGACACTGCATCTGGCACGTAACAAAAGCTCAATTTTTTTTGTTAATAAGTGAATACATTCCATTAATAAAATACTACTTCATTCATTTTTATCAAAATCTCTAATTTAAAAAAGTAAGTAAATTGCCCACAGTTTGAGTTAGGAAATATCTGAATGGCACATTTCATTGTTGTCCTCCCTATCGGAGATGCAGACTCTGAGCACTTGGCTTTAAAATTGAGTCACATTAACTGAAACAACACGTATTTAATGGTTTGTGACTGTTACCACCAGCTATCTCAAGGCTTTCAGCTCTTGCAAAGTATCCTTTACTACCCCTGAATTTCTGAGAATTCCCTGTGGTATCTCACTTGCATGGAAGTCCTCTATGTTATAGGCCTCAGATTTTAATGTGCATACCAGTCCCAGGACTTCTGTTAAAATGCAGGTTCTGATTCGGTAGGTCTGGGGTGGGACCTTAGTGGCTGCATTTCTGACCAGTTCCCATGGATGCTGATGCTATTGGACCTTGGACCCCATTTTGATAATCAAGGATATATGCCACAATATGTAGACATCCATGAAAGAGTCTTCATCACTGAGTTAGAATAGAATTAACGTCTTACATTGCAATGAAAAGTGACATGTTGACCCAACATTGCACCCTTTTGAAGGTGACTTCAAGCCTAAAAATACATTATTCCCAGCCCTTTAAAAAGAAAATATCTTTAGCTTTAAGACTGGAATTTTGACTTTTAGTTGGTAATAGATATTTTGATGGTAGAAAATACTAGAATCTGACCCTTTTCATCAGTTCCTAAAAATCTAATTTGTTAGAGTCAGAAGTTATGGGATGCTGTGGAAAAGAAGCAAACCATCTGGATATTAAGAGAAAATCAAAATCTCTCAGACTATCTTAATATTTTATGGTGTTTCTTTATAGCCCGTAATTTAAAACATCAATCAAATATTGCCACAGAAGGTGGCAGGTCAAAAGTGTTTGACCTGGAGAAACCGTCATGCTAGAGCTGCTAATTAGGACAGCTGCTTCAATTAGGAAAGCAATTGGAGGATATTCTCTCTACTGAGTGAAAAATATGAGGCAGGTGACAGCACAACAGACTGTCTTGACCTCGTTGGCCTAAAAGCTAAATTTAAAGGTGTGACAAGTGTTGTGTGAATTGCATATGAAGATAAAACAAAAACACAAGTGTGATGTTTCGAAAGAATTATGGGGGAGGGGCAGGCAGAAATTTAGGCACAGGTCAGAGAGCTGAGCTTCTGTCTGTTTTATCTTTGGTCTTATATCTAGGCAATAAAACATCCTTGACTGATCTTCCCAAAGAGTTCTTCAGGAAGGTAAATATACTTTAACAACCACCTTTGCATGGTGGAAAGGACTTTATAAGAGAGGCCGTAGAGCAAGAAAAACTGAGGCCAAACAATGGAAGAGCAGTTTCTAGCATGCAGATTAATATATTGAAAACTAGCATAGCAAAATGGGGGCCTTTCTGATATTTTGGGTTTGAATCCTCCCTCTAGCATAAGTGAAAACATGTACTGCTTGGGAGTAATACAGTCTTGAAAATTATTTACCTCCCCTGGCTAACATTTGCATGACACATGCAAGTCAATTTATGAAGCAATTTGTAAAATGTTATTTTCATTTTAAAGATGAGAAAATTGAAATGTAGAGAGATCAGGGTTTGACAGAGATAAAAACACTAGTATTACCTAGCCCCTTTCAGAGTCCATGACCTTCTTAATAAATCATGTTGCTTTACAAAGATTTTCACATGCAATGCTTTATTTCTCTATGGACAATTCCAGTGTTTTAGATCAGGACCACTTAATTTACAAGCTTCATTTTAATCCATTTCCCATTTGCCCCCAGAAATGAGCACTGGCAGAGAGCTGTGCTTTTTTTTTTCTCTAAATGGGAAAGTGTTGAAATATTTAATACATCATCAAGTTATTAGGACACAATTTCTGTAATGGTAAACTTGGGACTGGAGTAAATAAATCCTAGCTATCCTTGCCTCTTTCATTGAATTCAATTCCAATTTTAATCTGGCAGTCAGTCTTTCCAAAATATTTGGAACTGGAAGCGGCCTCCAAACACCTGGTGAACCTTTCCACACCAGTGGATCAGATACTCACTAAATGCATGCCTTCCTTTTCCCGTCTCCCTGCATTCTACCAACAGCTGGATGAAAGATGGCTCATTTATGCCAACTATCAAGACATGATGTTTTCATAATCTGGAAATCATAAAGCTTATTCAAGGATCAGGACGTATTCTAAGCTATTTTAGAACATGTGCTGCCAAATAAGAGAGTGCTTATTGCAACTACTCAAAATGTTTTTTGAACAGAATGTTTTATACTAAATACATATCATCTTATTCAAGTATTGGGCCAATTCTCCACACCATATTCTGCAAAATAACATTTTCTAGGTTAGAAATGATGGATGTGATGTTTGTTTAAAGCCTTACATCTTTACAAATAGTAAGTCAAATGTAATAGAATCAAAGAAATGCTATAAATATTTGAAATTCCAAGTTGAGATTCTGAAGTCTCCAGAGGATGATGGCCCCAAAATTTCTGTATGATCAAGTCTTTATTTACCTTTCCAGATTAAAAATACGTAAACATGACATTCAAATTAAGGAAAAAATAAGAACAGAATAAGTAGAAAAACTTAAAAGGAAAAAAAATGAGTAAAAAATTAGTTGATTAGGAAAAAATAATTGAAATAATGAATAAAACAATTTCTTTTAAAAATTAAAGTCTCTGACTAGATTGATCCAGAATGAACACAAAATTATACAATATTAAAAATTAACATGGAAAAATATTGAAGATACTTTAGAAACTGTTAAAACCTAAAGGAAAAGTTATAAACTATTTACTAACCATTTGCAAACTAGATAAAAGTGAAAGTTCTAGAAAAACACAAATAATCAAATTTAACCTTAGGGGGATGGGAAATGAGATTAGATAATTCATTAAATTACAGTATCTACTGAAAACCTATTACTTCCTAAAAGTTGCTAGCCTATAAGAACTATTTTATACAAACTACCTAAGATCCATCTCACCTTATTAAAAAACCCTGATACAAGAATTAGAAAAACAGATACAAATCAAAAGGATATAATAGACCAAAAGCTCTTACCATAATGCTGGCAACCTAAAATTTTTTAGAGTTTATTGGGATATACATTTATTAAGATATATATTGAGACACAGTTTATTGAGATACAGTTCACATACTATACAATTCATTGATTGAATTCACAGAGTTATGCTTCTATTGCCACAATCTAATTTTAGAACATTTCCAGTGCTCTGATAAGATCCCCATGCCAATTAGCAAGGAGTCATCTCCTACCCCCAAACTGCATCCTAGGCAAATGCTAATCTACATTCTGACTCTATAGATTTGCTGATTCCAGTCAATTCATACAAACGGAATCTTACAATATGTAATGTGTTGTGACTGGCTTCTTTGACTTAGCATAATACTATCACAGTTCATCGAAATTGTAGCATGTATTAGAATGTAATTCCTTTTACTTGACAAATACTATTCAATTGTATGAATATGTTATATTTTATTCATCCAGTGAATAAATTAATGGGCATTTGGATTGTTTCCATTTTTGGAAATTGTAAACAATGCTTCTATGAACATCCATGTATGAGGTTTTGTGAGGATGTGTTTTTAATTCTTTTGAATATATACCTAGGAATGGAATTGCTAGGTCATATGGAAACAATAAGTTTAACATTTTAAGGACTTACTAATTATTTTTTGCCAAAGTAGCTGTACCTGTTTACATTCCCATGAGGAGTATACGGGGTTTCCATTCCTTCACATCCTTGCCACTGCTTGCTATTGCCTGCCTTTTTTAGTCTAAGCATCCTAGTGGGTGTGTGTAGTAGTATCCCATTGTGGTTTTGAATTGCATTTCCCTAATGGCTAATGTTGCTCTGTAGCCAGTGTTCTTCAGAGAAACAGAACCAATAGGATGGATGGATAGATAGATAGATAGATAGATAGATAGATAGATAGATAGATAAAGTGATTGGCTCATGCAATTATGAAGACTGAGAAGTTCTACAGGTCTGCCATCTGAAAGCTGGAGACCCAGGAAAGCTGGTGTTGTAATTCAAGTCCAAGTCTGAAGGACTGAGAACCAGTGGAGTCAATGGTAAGTCTTGATCTGTGTACAAAGGCTGGAGAACCAGGATTGCTGATTTCCAAGGGCAGGAGAAGATGAATGTCCCAGCTCAAGAAGAAAGAATGAATTCACCCTCCCTCCTTTTTATTCTATTCAAATCCTCAACAGATTGAAGTCCCAGCTCAAGAAGAAATAATGAATTCACTCTTCCTCCTTTTTATTCTATTCAAACCCTCAACAGATTGAAAGATATCCACCCACGTTGGTGAGGACAATCTTTTTTACTCAGTCTACCAATTCAAATGCTAATCTCTTTCAAAAACTTCTTAACAGATACAACCAGAGATAATGTTTCACCAGCTATTTGGGTATCTTTTACGCCAGTCTAGTTGACACATAAAGTTTAAATATCACAGACAGTGTGCATCTTTTAATGTACTCTGATTATTTTTAGGTCTTCTTTGGAGAAACGTATATTCAGATCCTTGGCTCATTTTTAATTAAAATTTATTTTTCTGTTATTGATTTGTAACAGTGGTTTATATATTGTGGATATAAGTCCCTTATAAGATACATGATTTGCAAATATTTTCTTATATGGGTTATCTTTTCATGTTCTTGATAGTATCATTTGCAGCACACAAGTAATTTTATTGAAGTCCAATTTATCTATATTGTCTTTTGTTGTTTGTGGTTCTGGGGCCTATCTACAAAACCACTGCCAAATCTAAGGTCACAATTTATTCCTATGTTTTCTTATAAGAGTTTTGTATTTTTTTTTACAGTTAGGTTTATGATCCATAATGAGGTAATTTTTGTGTATGGTGTGAGGAAGGGGCCCAACTAAATTCTTTAACATGTGGATATCCAGTTGTTCCAGCATCCTTTTTGGCAAAGACCTATCTTTGCCCATTGAATTGTCTTGGTGCTCTTGTCAAAATCATTGGTCATAAATGTAAAGATTTATTTCTGGATTCTCAACTCCATTCCATTGATGTATATGCATCTCTTCTTATGCCAGTACTTACCCTGTTATGATAACTGTGCTCCTAGACCAAGAGCTGGGGTTTAGGAAGCCCTGTGTTCTTGGCCACACCCTTCAATTATTTTCACAGTTAGCTGGGGATAAGGGGTGGGCCATGGCTTAAATGCCATAACCCTTACTGTTCTTCTCAAAATTTAGTAGTTTTTTAAATAAATACTTCCCTATTTGCTGTACACACTTAGAACAATTTCTAGTGACTGTTACAAATTTTTTTTTTTTTTTTTTTTTTGAGACAGAGTCTCGCTCTGTTGCCCAGGCTGTAGTGCAGTGGCGCCATCTCGGCTCACTGCAAGCTCCGCCTCCTGGGTTCACGCCATTCTCCTGCCTCAGCCTCCGGAGTAGCTGGGACTACAGGCGCCAGTTACGATTGTTTCACTGGGGTGAGGATCTATGGTGCTTTTCACCCCATCAACATCATCATTTCAGAAGTCTATTTGGGTTTTGAGGGGGTACTTTAAAAAAAAATTATCCTTCTGCCTTTTAATTTAGATAGTTGCTATTGCTATGTTCTAATTCACTGATATTTTCTCCTGTGGTGCCTAATTTTCTGCTGAATAAGCAATGAACTCTTCCATTTCAGATACTACATTTTTTATCTTCAGAATTTTTTCTTAGATTTTTTATACCTTCTATTTCTCTCATCACTATATTCATGTTTTTCCATTAAATCTTTGATTATATTTAGCTTATTTATAATAACTATCGTAAAGTCTTTGAGTGCTAATTTTACCATCTGGCTCAGTTTTAGTAAATTTTTATTGACTGATTTTATTTCCCTGGTTATGGTTCACATTTCCCTGTTTTTTAGTAGTCTCATAATTTTTTATTACATGCTGGGCATTCCAAATACTATGTGTTTCCATATCTGAAGTTTGATTTTTAATAGAATGTTGAATGTTTTTCTGGAAGATTGTTATTGCTTAATAGCTTAAATGTTTTGAGGTTCATGTTTAAACTCTGATAGCTTGGGTCTAGGGTGGCCATTACCCTAGGGACAATTTAACCCTACTGCTAAGATGTGGCCTGTCTAGAATTTCTGCTGAATACTCTAAAGATTAGAAAGTTCTGTCTGTTTTGGCTCATCAGAGTTCAAATGTAAACAAACCCTATGTGAGCTCTGGGAATTTTTCAGCATATAGCATCCTGGTCCTTTCATGTTTGGGCTCAGGGAATTTTACCTTAAGCATGTGTGGCTTGATATTTAGCCAAAGACTCAAGGAGAACTGTGTGGACCTTTCTGGTGCTATTTTTCTGTCTAATTCCCTGTTATCCTAATCTCTGCCCCGACATTTCCAGTCACCCGAGCCTCACTAAACACTGAGCTCTTTCTCCTCCACTCAGCAGGACAAATGTGCTGTGCTTGGAGTCACTTTCATGTGCCACGATGTGGAGTGTGTACATAGGCAGAAAGCCATGGCTATGACAGTGGTCACCTCATTGGTGTCCTTTCTCAGAGGCTCAGTTCTATGATTCCTGTTATCCAGTACCAAGAGTTATTTTATGTATTTTTTCTGTTTTCTAGTTGTTTACAGCAAAGCATAAGTCTGGTCTAAGCATTATGCCTGAAAATAAATCAACATGATAAACATAATAAGCTTTTAAGAAGGGGAGTTATATTATGAAAGCAATAGCTTAAGAAGATGAGTTTGAAAATGGTGGACAAAATACAAGGAAGTGTAAGTCAATCCCTGACCTCGATGAGTTTACAATGTAATGTAAATGTTTCAAAATCTTTCCATTAAAAATGCACTGGGAAAATATGACCTCCCATTTTAAAGAGTTTCTTATGTATTCCTATATCCGATAGCAGAGATCCCCAGAATCACTGAAGAACTTTAAATAGACACAGATAACACCCAAAATCTACTCTCTTAGCAAATCTCTAGTATACACTACACTATTTTTAACTATATTCATCATGCTGTACATTTTTAATTTCAAACCATGCAGATAACAAGGCAACAACCCATATTGCTCCTATGCAGCCAGTCTGGATGGGACAGAGAAATATGTATTTTTAAATAATCTCTTCAGGTAACTTTCACACACCCAAACACTCTCACATTTCAGATGTAGACTAAACCGCTTTAGATTGTCTTCTGGGAGCCCTCAAATTCTCAAAATTGTTTCTGATTAAGTAGACGCCAATCTGGGATCTTTTGCATTCCCCTTTTCTCTCCTGATAGTATCTATTACTCAACTTTAAGCTCTGTTGTAATTTTTCTTGGAAAGCCTAGGTGGCCTCAAACCTTTCCAACCACTGTAATGTGGCCCAAGGTCCCACACTGAGTCACATAAGAAGCTTTGCAGATCTGCCTCATTCCACTGCTACTGCTTTATGGAAAAGCATCTAGTGAGTTCCATTCAACACTTCCCTAAAACGTGTGTTTACCCAAGTGAAAGCATTTTGGTTTCAACAGCTGGCCTTCCTGTCTGAATGGCTTTCCTGCTCTGGGGCCTGAACACCACTCCAGAACCCCATTTTGTGAACACAAAGACCACCAGGATGCCCATTCTCTCAAGACTCAGTTTTTCCTTTAGTGAAACTCTATTCACCCCTTACCAGGATCTGACAGTCTGGACTCTTTTTTCTACCTGGCACTATTTTCTAGGGAAACCCCAAATAGCCCTCAACTTATAGAAACTTTCATGGGAGAAGACAATTGGCCTTTTTCTAAGTCTTCTGGACAAGCCAGCTGGCCTGCATTTTCTTTTCCACAGCTGCCTGTAAGTTACATCTGCATTTCTACCTTCACACCACAAAAAGTTCTAATCTGTGTGGTCAGCCAGTGTCCCTTGGCAGTGAATCATGTCATCTCATTTTCCACATTAAATCTAGAAAACTATTTAAATTCAATTGGACAATGAGAAAGGCCAAATCATTTATAAGGTCACAATTAAAAAGCACTCCACAATCCAGTTCAATGCAGACTGGGATTTTGGACTGGCATGACAGCAAACTCTAGTTTGCTGGTCTATGCCTGGTTTATGTCTTCTGAGCTTGCTCTTTAGCTCTTCCAGACAAATGACAAATCAGATTCTGGCAGCATTATAAGGATAAATGAAGTCCATATGTTAAATTTCAGAGGGAATTTCTATTAGTTAAAATACTGGAGGAGTGGGATAAGGAAGACATTTTCTTTTCTTTTGAGACAGAGTCTTGCTCTTGTACCCCAAGCTGGAGTACAATGGCATGATCTTGGCTCACTGCAACCTCCACCTCCTGGGTTCAAGCAAATCTCCTGCCTCAGCCTCCTGAGTAGCTGGGATTACAGGTCCCTGCCATGATGCCCAGCTAATTTTTGCATTTTTAGTAGAGACAGGGTTTCACCATGTTGGCCAGGCTGGCCTCGAACTACTGACCTCAGGTGATATGTCTGCCTCGGCCTCCCAAAGTGCTGGGATTACAGACGTGAGCCACCTTGCCCGGCCAGATATTCTTGAACAACATGCCACAGGCATCAGATTTTGAAGCAAGCAAAACAGCCCCAAACAGGTAGATAAAAGGAATTCATTCCAGCCCCTCTGCTCCTAGCTCAGCTTATACTAACAGCAGGATAACTTGATCATACCATTTGTGTACTAGTTCTCATACAAATGCACATTACATTTATTCTGAAAACATGCACTTGGACCTCCACTCATGTTCCCATTAGCATCCATCTTGACACATCCATTCAGAGACTACAGGGGCAAACACTAAAATCAACCAATCTCTAAGATTAAGAATTAATCTTAGAGAATTAAGAAAAATAGATGCATAGTGCAACCAAAGCTTGTGGGTTATATAAAAAATGTTTATTTCAGGTATTTATTTGCAAGGTACTAGATAATCAAGAGTAAATGAGAGAGATCTTGTCCTCACAGTGGAGAGACAAAGAAGTAAGGAAAAACCATAAATACAAGTATCTTTTACTATCAAACCTATTCTATTCATGAGATATTTAGTGAAAAATAGTATTTTATCTGAATTTAGTTGGTTTCTATATTTCAAATAATGAGAAGTTTGGATGCAACAGATATATATATATATATATATATATATATATATAAATTTATTCAAATATATTTGGGATCTGAATTTTGATATCAAAATTAAAATAGCAAGAAATCTTGTACTTAAGGATACCTGTGGCAATCGATGCCACAAAGTGGGGAAATGAGTTGCTGTCGTTAGTAACAGGATGAAAAGCTTAATTTAGACAGGGTGATTAGAGGACTCTGCCCTAAGAAGGGTGATGTTTCAGCCAAGACCTTGAGAAATGAGACAGACCTAGCTGAGTGAAATATGGGGAAAAATGTTAAGAAGAGAGGTGTTTAGGACAGAGATGCAAGGAGGTACCTGACCTTGCAGTACACTGGGGGGCTGGGCCAATGTTTGGATTCAGTTTAGGGGCTATATTTGGCCATTGCAGGGCTATCCTTTAAAACACTCTTAAGAAACGAACCACAGCAATTCCCTAAATGCATCAGAGAACCGAGGAATCAGAATAAGAGAGTGACTGTTAGAATAACGGACTTGCCCTAGAGGAATGAAGACCTCCCGGGCATGAACATTGGTACTAAGGGCTGTTTTATTTATTTATTTATTTATTTATTTTTGAGACCAAGTCTTGTTCTGTTGCCCAGCCTGGAGTGCAATGGTGCGATCTTGGCTTACTGCAACCTCCACCTCCCAGGTTCAAGCGATTCTCCTACCTCAGCCTCCCGAGTAGCTGGGACTACAGGCACACACCACCACGCCCAGCTAATTTTTGTAGTTTTAGTAGAGACGGGGTTTCACCATGTTGGCCATGCTGGCCTCAAGCTCCTGATCTCAGGTGATCCTCCTGCCTTGGCCTCCCAAAGTGCTGGGATTACAGACGTGAGCCACCGCGCTTGGCCTAAGGACTGTTATTAATGTGACCCTTCAGATTTTGATCTTAGGATGTGGAACTTCTGACATCCAAGGGATCTATAGTACTGATAAAGAAACTCCCCCCACAGTGTGTAGTGATAAAATGACAAATGCCACGTGGTGCATCTCTTTCATTCTCATTGGAGTAAATTGATAAGAAAGATAAACAATAGCCACACAAGAAAGTCAACTTTGTCTAATGAAGAGACGCTGCAGCATAAAGCAAAGACATGGAAATACCAAAGGGCCAGTAAAGACACCAGCACAATTGCAGGGAACCGAGATCACAGAGGAGCATGGCAGGAAGGAATGCCATTTTCCTTGGAGCTTTTGATTTTCAAAGTTTAACGGACTCCCGGGGCATCTGTGAGAAGGCTGAGAGTGGATGTGTATAACATGTCAACCTCTGGGCTACGGATTTTGCTGATTCAGCTTCTCATTAACTTAGCAGGCTGATATCCACCATGTGACATTCATTCTTTAGATTTAATGGAACTTCCCTAATCAATTGAGACACTGACACCTTGGCTGGTACCAACATCAGCAGGGATTCCAGATGCAGCTAAACCAATAGCTGGAGAGCAGGTCAGGCTTCAACAAAAGTCCAGATCTGGGAAACCTAGCCTCTTACACAGATATTTTATATAAGGAAGATGAATTTCCTGTTTTTAGTACATCTTAGACTAGTTGAGCAATGGATTAGTAATAACAATTTGCATAATCTGGTTCTCGAACTTGCTGTAAGAAATGATCTAACAGAATCTACAAAGCACTGGCAGAACCATGCTATCTTTTGGCCAAGTAGTAGGCAAAGATAGAGCTGACTTTATTCGGGAATAAACAACAGCAACCACAAAAAAGAATATCAAAATATTATACAACATAAAAGGAGAGAAACTTAGCATGAGAAAGATAGAGGAATAAATAGAAATTACTACAGGAAAGAAAAAACACTTTTAGGTTTAGGTCTAGACACTTTAAATGGGAAGATTTTCTTTCCATCTCAAGGCAGTAAAATCAAACATGGTTTTTATCAGTCAAGGCATAAAAGATGATGGCTGGGTGCAGCGGCTCACACCTGTAATCCCGGCACTTGGGAGGTCAAGGCAAGTGGATTACCTGAGGTCAGGAGTTTGAGACCAGCCTGACCAACATGGTGAAACCCCATCTCTACTAAAAATACAAAACTTAGCCAGGCATAGTGGTAGGCGCCTGTAATCCAGGCTACTATGGAGGCTGAGGCAAGATAATCGCTTGAGCCAGGGAGACAGAGGTTGCAGTGAGCCGAGATCGCACCATTGCACTCCAGCCTGGGCAACACAGTGAGACTGCCTCTCAAAAAAAAAGAGAGATATGATAGCAAACTGAGAAGAAAGAGGAATTGGACAAAAGGAAGGCAACAACTTGAGGACACTAAAGTGGCATAACTAATTATAAACATTTAGACGTTTCCCAGACGGTCATCAACTGCAGGAAATTTAAACAATGAGGTAAAGAACAAGGTAGAAAGTTTCTTTCAAAATAAAGATGAAGAAGAAGAAAAGACATGAAAACCAACAAGAAAAAAATAGCTCTTTATCAGGCAACAAAGATCTGGTATACAGATAACTAATATTTCTGAAGAAAGAACAAGAAAATAAAAATAAAACTCATTAGTTCTATTATTATTATTTTTCAAATCCACCATACCCCATTATTTTGGGCTACAAGATATGTTAAAGACTGAATGGAGTACATGTAATTCACTGTGGTTGTGATTTTGATCCCTTTTTGACTATACTTCTAACTGCTTCGACTTTATAGATTTCACTGCTAATATTTGGCATAGTATATTTGATATACAAAGAGCACCTATAAATCAATTAAAAAAAAGAAAAATCAGCCGGGTGTGGTGGCTCATGCTGGTAATCCCAACACTTTGGGAGGCTGAGGCAGGTGGATCTCCTGAGGCCAGGAGTTTGAGACCAGCCTGGCCAACATGGTGAAACCCTGTCTCTATTAAAAATACAAAAAAATTTGCTGGGCGTGGTGGCAGGTGCCTGTAATCCCAGCTACTCAGGAGGCTGAGGCAGGAGAATAGCTTGAACCTGGGAGGCAAAGGTTGCAGTGAGCCGAGATTGTGCCATTGCACTCCAGTCTGGGCAACAAGAGCCAAACTCCATCTCAAAAAATTTAAATAAATAAAAATTTTTAAAAAATCAAGAAAACCCTAATAGAAAAAGTGACAAGGAAAGTAAATTTATTCTATAAATATGAAGAAATGAAAACACACAGTAAGTAGATTAAAAAAATATACCTCGCTATCCATCAAAAGTAAGCCCATGAAAATGGTAATGACAATTTTTATCAATTAAGTCAGTAAGCTTTAAAAATTATAATATCCTGTTGAATTAAAGATGTGGGAAAATAGATACTTTATATATATTATGTGGAAGTATAATCAATACAATCTTCCTAGAAAGCAATTTGGCAATATATTTAAAGAGCTGCAAAATATTCATATTATTTGACCTTCCAATTAAATAATATTAAAAACCGGAAAAAGAAATTTACTCGCTATTGTTTAGAATAAATATACTTTATATGTCATAAGGCCATCTCTCATATATTAACATATATATGTGTGTATACATATAGATATTAAAAGATGGGAAGGGGAATACTCAAATTTCTGAATGGCTGACTTTTCTTCTTATATTACAGGTAATTCATTTTATTTTTTGGATTTCTCAATAGCTACCAGGTCTCCCCAAATAAACATTCATTACTTTTATTATATATGAAAATAAATGAGCAAAAATGGAATAATAAAAAATAATTCCCAAGTAATAGTCCTTATGGATGCAAGTTCATGAAAGATAAACAAGGACCTGAAATATTTCTATAATATAAATTATACAGTCGATCCAATAGGAATCAACCTTTGGATCCTGTTGATAGAATAAAAACCTTCCATCACCAAATTTTTTAAAAAATTACAAGTGATTCATAGAAGACATTAGATCATGAGTAAGTCCTCAAAAGTTCCAAGTTTTCCCATTTTTACACTGCATACTTTTTACCACAATGTGATTGAAATAGAAATGCTTATTATAGTGAATATATAAACAAAGAAAACCATAGGAGTTACAGATTTTTAAAAACTGTAAATATCTACTTGTCTGACTTTTATGTGTGTGGCTTACATAAAGATTCAAAGGCTATCACCAAGCTGAGCTCAGAGATAAGTTATTACCATTATTATTATTATTAGACTTTATTCTTTTTAAAAATGTAAACTAAATATCCATCTCTGAAAATTTGAAAATAATCTAAAATTCTACCAAAATTGAGATATATGTTTAAATTTATGAATTCCTAAATATAAAAGGAGCAGTGTTGACAAGTAGCCTCAATAGCTAGTTTTGAAGAAAATATAATAACAAACCTTGGTTAAATTTAATTGCAGTGAAAGAGAAAATATCATTAATGAAATTAGACATAAGATAGATAATATAACCAGAGGTAGACTTTTAAAATAAAACAGTAATTCTCTGCTCAATCCAAACAGACCTGCCTCCTAAATGAGTCACTTGAGGTTTGGGGACATCTTAAAATGAGAAATTAACTGAATTATAGCAAAGATAACGTTTAGCATTTTTAGTTTCATGATTCAAGTTGCCTAATGCTAGGAAGGATTGGATATGTTGTACCTGATTTAAACACTAGAGGGAAGAAAAACAAAGAAAACCAGGAGGCATGCCAGATCCAACCCAAGGAATAGCGACTGCATGAAGAAGGGAAGGAAGTCCAGCTTCAGAGACAGACCTCACGAAGCAGCCACAAACACGGCCCTGGGAGATTCCAGGTAACAGCAAAAATAGTGCTTATGCCTTCTTGAGCAGTGTCTATTACCCATCTCACCACCGGTTAGTTCTAGGCAAAGGCAGGTATAAGGAGCTCACTATGAAGATGAATCTGTGCATTAATGGTTTTGCACATTTTTGGGGGGAGAGCAGATTAATCTGTCACCCCTCGGTGCTGATGGGACAAAAGCTGGTTTTACTCCTTGCTCTCGTCTCCTTCTAGCCCCCTTCTGTAAGAGTCGCTTCCTAACAAGTAATGCTTGCTTTTGTTTTTGTTTTTAAAACCTGCTCAGACCTTAGTTTAGGGTATTTTGGGCCATACAATGGGATAGGTGTTATTAAAGGGAAGAGAGGTAGTTTGGGAGTCATATGTCTTTAGAAGTTGAAGAGGGTAGTGGTTACTCTGAAGTAGTGCAAGGTCGTGGGGCTGAGAGTTTCCCCAGAAACAGAAACTTAGGTCTTGGGCTGGCTCTGCCCCCTGAGGTGACAGGACCAGGAAAGAGAAAGTGTGTGAGGGTGAGGGCTGGAGACCAGGGAGGTGGTCTTGGAAGCCCTGTTACTAGAAGGGCCTGCTTGAGTGCTTTTCTCAGAGGGGACCATTCTGTGGGTGTCCTGACACCAGATTAGAATAGTGATGTCTGGATAGCATGTGTGAGAGAAGGGGTTCTCCACCCATCTTCCTAGACCTCGTGAGCCCACAAGTTCTTATCTTTAGAAAATAGGGGGAAATGCTCTGACATTGCATTTTGGCTAATTTTGGTGCCCGGATTTCAAAGCTAGCTTCAATACTATTTACATTCCAATAGATGATCAAGGTTAAGAAAGGAAATAATCTAAAGAAAATTTAGCTTTATCATTAATGGTATAACTTAAACTGTGAATTATAAATACAACTTAAAATTAATATAGTCTTCAAAAGATCTGTGGAAACTTGTTTTGTTTTCCTTGATTTATTTGTTTAATTAAACACTGGGGCACTAATGAATGATGAAAATATGACCAAAAGTCTAAAGTCAAGAAAGATTTAAACTAAACAATGCAGAAAGGCTAGAGAAATATTTGACAATAGTATTTCATTTCACAAATTTAAAACTTTAATCTTATTTGATAACATGTTTTCAGGCCGGGCAAGGTGCCTCACATCTGCAATCCCAGCACTTTCAGAGGCTGAGGTGGGTGGATCACTTGATGTCAGGAGTTCAAGATCAGCCTGGCCAACACAGTGAAGCCCCAGCTCTACTAAAAATACAAAAAAAATTAGCCGTGCATGGTGGTGGGTGCCTGCAGTCCCAGCTACTCAGGAGGCTGAGGCAGGAGAATTGCTTGAACCCAGGAGGTGAAGGTTGCAGTGAGCCAAGATTGAGCCACTGCACTCCAGCCTGGGCAACCGACAAAGACTCCACTTCAAAAAAAAAAAATTCTTATGTCCACATAGATCCTTAATATTACCTTGGGAAGAAGTTAGGAGAGGGCCTATTATGCCCATTTTTCAGACAAGATAAAGTGAGGAGAGTGAGTGCTTGAGGTTCAAGCACCTGCTCATGGTTAGTGAACAGCAAACAACATGAGGGTGGTGGAGCCTCCAGATCTTTCCATTACTCCACATGTTAGTGGGATCACCCAATAAATGTCAGCATCCAAGATGAACAACTCGAAGGGAAAAATGAACGCATTACTATATAAATGTATGACTCTGTAATAAAAAAAAAATACCCAAAACCTGTGTCATGACATTTGTCAGTCATTCCAGAAGTGAGTGTGTGAACTCGATCTGGCACTTATAATAATCACATTTGCAAAGAGTTTCTTTTGCTGAGTGTCTGTAATTCATTTGGTTGCGGGAAGCTTTTCTATGGTAGCTCAGACCAAAGACCACATATCTGCAAACAGTTTGCAGGCACTTGTTTTCTCCAATACATCATTGAATTCTCAGGTTTCCTGAGGGAGAGGAGAGAAGTGAGGAAAAAGAAAGGAAGCTAAGAAACCGATTTCATTTGCCACCAAACTCAATAAGCCACCTCTTCTTGAGGCATGTGTTGGTGGTTACCAGTGGGGACTGGAACAAGTTGAGAGCTGAACCCACTGGGGCTGCGAGGATGTGGGTGAGGACCCAGCGTGGCAAGAGTTCCAGGCTTCGACCTCCAGCTGCACAGCTTGGTGATGGCCAAGGGTGCGGCTGCATTTGGAGGCTTCTGTAAAGAGGCAGGGGTGCCACCAACCAGCTCCCTTGATGCCCCTGCCGAGAAATGCTAACTGGAAACTCATGGCTGGATTGTCTGCCTCATCTTGGGTTAACAAAAGGGTCCCTATTGCTTCAACCCTGGTCAGTTCAGTTCAAATCTATTGAGCCTCCTTATGCACCAGACATTTTGCTGGGCTCTGCACATCCAGTAGAGGACTCCTGGTTTATGACTCTGTAAGAAGCTAGAAGTGGCCACTCCATCCTAAAAGTAGAAAGCTGAACAAACTGAAAAATCAACTCATCATAGGGAAAACTGCTGCCCCCAAAATTGGAAGGACCAACAAAAAGTTGAAAACAGAGAATCACAACTTACTAGAGCAGAAACACAGGAGCAGAAACCATAATGAGAACCCATGCCAGGGTAGGGAAACCTGAACTGTAATGGATGAATGGCTGGAGGCTTCGTGTGGACACATCTGAGGGTTAAACACTCCAGGGGACTCAGTCATAAGGGCCCCCAACACTGTTTGGGGTTTTACCTCCAGGAGCTTGACCAGGTTCTCACAGAGAAGATGAGAGAAAAATTCCCTTATGCTTCCTGTAGGTTGGGGGAGGAAAGTTGCCATTTTAAACTATGCTAGAACATTCTATTTTCCCTAACCAGGCCTGCGCTCAAGTGGAATTGTTTTACCAGACCCTAACCTGTTGGGGTTTCATTGGAACTTAACTGACCTGGGCCCCGGATGGGAAATACTCAACTTCAGTCCACTTTAGCCATCCTGTCCCACCAAAGATTAGGGGACTGAGAAGCTCTTGTGAGGTCACAGTTCAGAAACACAGGCTCAGCAAAAGACTGACATCTAATAATAGGACGATAGGAGACTCCCCCTCCTCCCATACATTACCGTTGCCTTAATAAGGGCCTATTTACTGCAGTTTGTTTTGCCCGCTACATCATGTGCAGCTAGCAAGAAAATAGTACAAGCCATCCTCAAAGGCAAATAAACAAACAAACTCAGCTTGAGGAAATAGACCAAATATCAGAACTGGAGTTAAATATGGCAGGAATATTGGAGTTATCAAACTGGTAATTTAAAACAATTATGATGATTATGCTGAGGGCTGTAGTGGATAAAGTGGACAGTATGCAAAAACAGACAGGCAACGTGAGCAGAGAGATGGAAATCCTGAGAAAGCACCAAAAAGGAAATGCTAGAGATTAAAAAAAAATGCCATACGAGGAATGAAGCGTGACTCTGACAGGCTTATTAGCAGACTGGACGCTGGAAAAGTAGATGTTCTCAAGCTGGGGAAAGAATCCCTGTGCTTGAAGGTTATTCAACAGAAACCCTCAAAGCTGTAAAGCAAACAGAAAAACAGACTGAGTTAAAAAAACCGGAAAAGAATATTCCAAACTGTGGCACAACTGCAAAAGGTGTAACGTATATGTAATACCCATACCAGAAGGAGAAGAAAGAGTGAAAGAAATCATTATATAAAAAGACATCTGCACTAGGGTGTTTATCACAGCACTATTCACAGTAGCAAAGATATGGAATCAACCAAAGTGTTCATCAACAGAGGACTGGATAAAGAAAAATGTGGTGTATATATGTAACATATATAATGTATATGTATAAACATTATATACATGTATATATGTTATACGTATATACATTGTATGTATAATGACTGATATGTATATGACTGATATGTATAATGACTATATGTATGATGACTGAAGGCCATTAGCCTAAGTGAAATAACTCAGGAACAGAAAGTCAAATATCAAATATTCTTGTAACTGGGAGTTAAACAATGGGTGTGCATGGACGTACAGAATGGAATAAAGGACACTGAAGACTAAAAGAGGTGGGAAGAAGGGAGGAGCATAAGGGTTGAAAAACCATCTATTAAATACAATGTTCACTATTTGGGTGATGGGTACACTAAAAGCCCACACTTCACCATTATGCAATATATGCTTGTAAGAAAATGTGCTTGTACCCCCATAATATATAAAAGTAGAAAATATATATAGAAAACAAAAGAAACAGAAGATATTTGAAAAAATAATGATGGGAATTTCCCAAAATTAATGTCAGATACCAAACCACAGGTCCAAAAAACTCAGAGAACACCAAGCAGGATAAATTAGAACACACACACACACACACACACACACACACACAAACACACACACACACACCCTTTACCTAGGCATATTATTTTCAAACTACAGAAAATAAAAATAAAGTCCCAAAAGAAGCCAGAGGAAACAGACACATTAACTATCAAGGAGCAAAGGTAAGAATTCCATATTACTTCTCAGAAACAATACAAGCAGGGAGAGAGTAGAGTAAAATATTTAAAGAGTTGAGGAAAAACAAACAAACAAAATGCCAACCTAAAATTCTATACCTTGTGAAATTATCTTTGAAAACTGAAAAAGAAAAAAAATGCTTTCTTCAACAAACAAAAATTGAAGAAATTTGTTGCCAGTAGACCTTCCTTACAAAAAAAGTCAAAAGAAGTTCCTTAGAGAGAAGAAAATAATATGTCAGAAACTCAGATCTACATAAGAAAGGAAGAACATTGAGGAAGAAATAATTGAAGGTAAAATAAATACTTTTTTTATTCTTACCTGATTTAACAGAAAACAATTTGTTCAAAATCATCACATCAACGATGAATTCAATTACATGTGCTTATGTATATGTCTTATATGTATTTTATACTTAACATATGCGTGTGTATGAATGAAATCAATAACATAGATGAATCAAGAGACAAGAGGGAGGAACTGGGTGACATTTGAAACCAGACTTGGATTAGTTGTAAATGTATATTGCAAACTTTAGGATAGCCACTAAAAAAAGTGAAAAAGGAATTTTAACTGATAAGAAAGGGGAAAAAAAAAGCATTATACAAAATACTCAATTCAAAACCATGGGCCAGGCATGGTGGCTCATGCCTATAATCCCAGCACTTCGGGAGGCCAAGAGGGGTGGATCATGAGGTCGGGAGTTTAAGACCAGCCTGAGCAACATGGCAAAACCCCATCTCTACAAAAAATACAAAAATTAGCCAGGCATGGTGGTGCGTGCCTGTAATCCCAGCTACTCAGGAGGCTGAGGCAGGAGAATCACTTGAACCTGGGAGACGGAGGTTGCAGTGAGCCGAGATTGCACCACTGCACAGCCTGGGCAACAGAGCAAGACTCCGCAAAAACAAACAAACAAACAAATAAAAAACATGAAAGGCAGAAAGAGTGAAAGACAAAAATAGGAATGCAGCTGGGTGTAGTGGCTCACACCTGTAAACCTAGCACTTTGGGAAGCCAAACCAGGCAAATCACTTGAGGCCTGAAGTTTGAGACCAGTCTGGCCAACATAGGAAAGCCCTGTCTCTAAAAGAAAAAAGAGAAAAAGAAAAAAAAAAAGCAATGCAGGACAAGGAAGGGCAATAAATAGAAAATAGTAACAAATAAGATAGATACTAATCTAACTATATAAACAATCACTTTGAATATAAGTGCTTTATATGCACCAATGAAAACACAGAGATTGTCAGAGTGGATAACAGAACAGTAGCCAACTATATATCATCTACAGAGGTGAAGAAAACAGGGTCCCTTCCCTTGGAAACCTGACATCAGAAAATGTTTCCAAGGGTTCCCCTTTTTCCAATAGTGTGTGCTATAGAGTGACGGTGGTTCTCTCTCTGCCTCTGTCCTTTAGGCACCCACACCCTGAGGAACTGCAGGCATCACACTTTAGCAGTGATCTAGTGTCCAGAGTCAGAGACCCAGAGAAATTAAAAATCTCATTAAAAACAAGCAAACAAACAAGTATTCTCCCCTTGTAAATGTTCTCGTTATTATTGTGTCCTAACAGTAACTGTAGGATTTACTCTTTGCTGTTGGCTTGGCCTTCAGGGTAATTTATCTTGCATCGTCTCATAGATTCAATCATTATCCTTGAAACAATAATGAAGTGGGAGTTAGGAGACCCCAAAGATGCTTCTCTGTATAGGAGTGAAAACCCTGGTGGCAGCAGCAACACTGGTTTCCTTGCTGTTCCTTGATGAAGCCAAGCCCACTCCCAGCCTTCTGCATTTGTTTTTGTTTTACACTCTGCCTGGAATGATCTTCCCCCCCGGCACAACTGTGTGTCACTTAACAACAGGAATCCACATTCTGAGAACTGTGTCATCAGGCAATTTTGTTGTGTGACTATTGTAGGGTGTACTTACACAAACCTAGATTTTATAGCCTACTACACACCCAGGCTATATGGTGTAGCCATTGCTCTTAGACTATAAACCTGTATAGCAGGTTAGTGTAGTGAATGTTGTAGGCAATTGTAACACAAGAGTATTTGTGAATCTAAACGCAGAAAAGGCACAGTAATTGGATATGCAGTCTGCTGTTGACTGAAACATAGTATGTGGCGCATGACTGTGTACACATGGATAGCTCTGAAGGAAGGAAGAGTTTCCAAAAAGAGGCAACCACAGCTCATTTGAGTGAAGCCTGTTGTGACACAGCATGGGTTGAAAGTCCAGACACTCAACTCATCATCTTAGGCTCTGTGCATTTGCTAAACAATCTGACTGCATTGCATCATCTCAGATGCCTCACAATCTCTGGTGAAGCCATATGCTTCTTCTTGGGTGTCGGGTCACCCCTTTATCTCTGTATCCATGTATACTGCAAATTCCTTCTTTACTCGCCAGTTCCTCCTCATCTTATAGCTCCAATGTAGCTTCTTCCGTAAAGGCCTTCCTGCTCCTCTGCACCCCTCGCCATGCTATGGGTGTCCTGATGCCTTCTCTCGGCTCCCCCGATCCCTGGGCTTACCCTGTCACAGCCTGACACTCCAGCTGTCGATCCCTGGTATGTGTCTGTCTCTCTCTTCCACTGAGTCTGAGAGGACAATGCTTTGTCACCAGAGTCTGGGACAAAACCTTCACCAAGGGGGGGAGTCTGTAAATGCGCACCAACTTCAATAACTGCATCCTCAGCGTCTTTGGGAACACAGTGGAGATGTACCTAATTCATCCTGGGAAAGTAAAAATGGGAGGGAGACATGGAGGCTTAACTCAGCCTTAAATGAATGAATAAATAATGGCCAGGCAGTGGGGAGTTGGGAGGAGCTTGGAGGCTTTACCTACCACAGTGAAAGTCCTATAACTATATTTCACCATGATTTTCCGGTAGTCTAGGAGCTCCCCAGAGACCCTGGCCTGGGGTGGATCCTGTGTGGTCACGTTCATAGACCACTAAGAACAAAGGCGCCTTCCTCCATCATTTCCACCTTGCTGCCACTGGAGGGAGACCCCAGCCCATTTATCACGCCCATTCCTGCCTCCTGGAGGCCCCTCCCTTCATCTGCTCCTGCCTGATCTCCTGAGTGGGGAGGCTCGGGATTTATGGCAACGCTGGTGCCAAATCGCAGAATTGTCCTAAAGCCCAGCTCTCTGAATAAGTGATAGCCTTAGAATAATACTAACCACATTAAAAATAATGTATTGCTACTTTTTGCCTAGATCTTATAATATACCAGAGACCGTGCTGCGTGTTCTATAGGCACGATCTCTCTGCACTCTCACAAAAGCCCCATGACATGAACACATTTGTTATCCCAAATTTGTCAGATGGAAAAAGAAAAAGTGAGGCACAACTCTATTAAATGCCTTGTCTAAGGTCAACAAGTCCGTTAGGGTTGGAACTAACTGACGACAGACGAAGCCGTCCTAACCCCTGAAATCTACAAGTAGTCCAGGAAGAGGGGGAGAAGATCCCTTTAGGTGTGAAGGAAGAATGGACTGGAAAGTAGAGACCCTGAGATCCAGGACGGAAGGAGGGAAGAGGCTCGCTTGACTGTCATAAGCTTCATTTTGCTGAAACAGACCCCAGAAAGGGCAGTGATGAGAGATGAGGCCACAATACAGGTAAGCAGGGGCCCTGGAGTGCCAAGCCTGTGTGCCAGGATGAAGAGTGCCGTTCTATTTCAAAGGAAAGGGGAATCCTGCAAGTGTTTTAAGCTGGGAAAGATAAAATCCAGTTTGTGTTTTGTGAAAATTAGGTGAGTTTCTGGGTGGAGAAAAGACAGGCAGGGGACCCAGTGCTGGTGAGAAATCCATGAGGAACCCGCAGCACCATCTTAATGAGAGAAGGCGAGGACCAGGACGGGGCAGAGGCCGGGGATATGGAAAGCAGGGGACATGAGACCTCTCTAGCAGGGTTGTTGAGCCTCCACACTGTTGATGCTGGCTGGGTAAACTGTTTGGGGGAGGGGAAGGGCAGACCGCCCCATGCTTTGTAGGATGGTCAGCAGGATCTAGCCTCTACCTGCCAGATGCCAGTAGCACCCCCAAATGTGACAGCCAAAAATGTCTCAGACATTGCCCAGTGTCCCCTAGGAGACAGAATTGCCCTTGGTTGAGAAACACTGCTGCAGCGATGTCACCTAGCACAGTCTTCCAGATAGAAACTGAGGCCCTGATTTGGGTGACAGCTCCACCCCTTCCTAGCTCCATGACCTTGGAAGAGACGACTTCATCCCATTGGACTCTTTTGCTCATCAGCAAAGAAGGACACAGCGCTTTCCTGAGAATGTGCCTGTGAGGCTGAATTAGACAAAAGCACCTTGCAAAGCTGCCTGACACATGGTGAGCCCGCAGGAAATGTGATTAGCAATCACGAAGATGAGCTTCATCTGCAAGAGACAGGCCTTTCTTTCATCATCTAGGCCGTCCTAGCTGGGGAGACACAGCAGAGGGACACAGCTCACACGCACAGAGGGTGCCCACCAGCCATGCTCCCCCACCGGAAGACTAGATCTCACCTGGTACAACCCGCCCTGAGGAATAAGGAGACTCATGAAGAAACCCTGGCCACAAACAGAGGCCCCGTACTGTGACACTTGACCTCCTGCACACCCTCTGGCAAAAGCAATGTAAAGGAAGAATGCATTCCCCCACCCTCAGGCGCAATCACTACCGCCAAGGAACCAGAGTTAAGGCCAGCGCCCTTCTGGCCTTTATTCTGGATGAATAACTAAAGGGGCTTGCTGTGTGGGCTGGACTGAGACTGCTCCTGATTATCAAGGAGACAGAGCTTTACTACAACATGGATGCAAGGAGGGATGCAAGGAGGGAACCCTTTGAATGCCTGTTACTATTAATGTAAAAGTTAATAGAAGTTTATAGCAACCCCCCTATAGCAAGCATCCCAAAGGGCCCAGATCCCTTAGGAATAAGAGTTTTGGTCACCCCACTGGGTACAGAACATCATCTGAGATTTGGGCTGAGGTTAGAGGAAATATCAAATGAACTCTGGAGAAGGATAGTATAAAACTAATTTTTTTCTAGGATTTTACTTTGATGGTGTTCTGGAAATAATTTCCCATTTCTTTAGTGTTTTTTTTTTTTTTTCTTCTCTCACAGGAGAATACATTACTTTCTATAGCCTCTCCCTGGCTTCATATCCTTGTTTATGATTCAGGAGTATTTTTATTGCAGGTCTTTGTTAAATGAATCCTGTTAAGCTTGAAAATATTCTTAGTAAAATTTAATGATAATCTCTTACAGTTCAACGTCCATTCGATAGGATATAAAATTAAAAGGTCAGTTTCTTTACCTTCAATACCCTTAAGAAATTAATTTCTTCATGCATCCAGTATTGCTATTGACAAGTCTGATATCATTTTGATTCCTTTTTTGTTATTATATGATCTACTATTTTTCTCTCTGTCTTAGATATTCTGAAGTTTCACTATCCTGCTTGTCCATGTCAGTTTTCTTTTTCTTTTTCGTTTGACACCCTGTGGTGTCGTCAGTATAAGACCTTTCAGTTTTCTTTGTTTCTGGAGAATTTATATTTATTACTTATTCAAATATCTTCCTTATGCCTTTCTTCTTTTCCGTCTAGATCCCATTTTATCTGGATTTTGGTACTTCTCTCCTCCATATCTATCAATTTATTGTTCTTGTTTCTGAATCTCTGTGGACTCTTTCTAGGAGAGTCTCTCACTCCAATCTTTCTGTTGAGTTATTTGATTGTCAGCAGTATCAACTTTGGGGAAGTTTCATTCTAAAATTTGAATACCTTTCGTATCTATTGGTTCCACTGCATTCTTTTTAATGAGTTCTTATTGTTCTTTCCTGTACTTATTTTGTACTCTTATCTATTCAAGTATATTCGCATTGCTTGCTTTAAAATCCCAGAACATATACTACAATAAGATATACAAGGATGTCCAGCAGGCCTCTGACCTTCCCTTTGGAGTGACTGTACTCCTCAGGTCTTAAGTCATTTGGGCCTGTGGCTTATGTTCCCAGGGGAGGACCTGCTACTCTGGATGATTAAGTGTGAGGGGACAGAAAGAAGCCCAAGCTGCAGTGAGAGCCCCAAGGCAGAGAAGATCTGTCCAGAGCAGAGGGAATCACTGCGGCTCACTCCTACTGAGCTCTTTGGGGCCATCCCATCATCAGGGTTTTACTCTGAAGACAGAAATAAGCAGTATTTGGAGCCCAATACTCTTCTAGATCGTAATCTGTCATTTTGTCACCTGGAGCACTTTCTATTTATTATGTGATTTTAGAATGTAATTCTTACTGTAGAAATAAACTTAAAGCAGTACCATTAATAAAATTCTTGAAAACTATAAAGCACTAAACACCTGTAAGTTATTACTTTACTGCTAGGTGCAAAGAGGGGTTCAGCATGGATAGCTCTGAATGCTGTGAAAAGCTGCTCAAGATTCACAGCCTTTCAAGGGTTTTTTCTTTATAAAAATTCAAATTTCTCATCTACCTAAATAATGATGTAATTTAGATATGTTTAGGCTTTCCACGAGTTGTGTCTTGATACTATCTGTGAATTGATCCTATAATCTAAAAAACAATCTACTGAAAAAGCTAAACATATCATTCAGGGTCGGTCGAGTTAGAGAGGCAGAAACCACACAATGAGTTGAGCAAAGAAAGTTTAATGCAAAGAATTAATAACTAAAACGGGGGATTGGAGTATTGAAGAATTGGCTAGAGAGAAGTAGAGAGAACTCTTAAGAATACAGAAGTAGCTTGGATTCCTAGGTATTTTATTCTCTTTGAAGTAATTGTGAATGGGAGTTCACTCGTGATTTGGCTCTCTGTTTGTCTGTTATTGATGTATAAGAATGCTTGTGATTTTTGCACATTGATTTTGTATCCTGAGACTTTGCCAAAGTTGCTTATCAGCTTAAGGAGATTTTGGGCTGAGACGATGGGGTTTTCTAAATACACGATCATGTCATCTGCAGACAGAGACAATTTGACTTCCTCTTTTCCTGATTGAATACCCTTTATTTCTTTCTCTTACCTGACTGCCCTAGCTAGAACTTCCAACACTATGTTGAATAGGAGTGGTGAGAGAGGGCATCCTTGTCTTGTGCCAGTTTTCAAAGGGAATGCTTCCAGTTTTTGCCCATTCAGTATGGTATTGGCTGTGGGTTTGTCATAAATAGCTCTTATTATTTTGAGATACGTCCCATCAATACCTAGTTTATTGAGAGGTTTTAGCATGAAGCACTGTTGAATTTTGCTGAAGGCATCTATTGAGATTATCATGTGGTTTTTGTCATTGGTTCTGTTTATGTAATGGATTACTTTTATTGATTTGTGTATGTTGAACCAACCTTGCATCCCAGGGATGAAGCCAACTTGATCATGGTGGATAAGCTTTTTGATGTGCTGCTGGATTGGATTTGCCAGTATTTTATTGAGGATTTTAGCATCAACGTTCATCAGGAATATTGGCCTAAAATTCTCTTTTTTTTGTTGTGTCTCTGCCAGGCTTTGGTATCAGGATGATGCTGGCCTCATAAAATGAGTTAGGGAGGATTCCCTCTTTTTCTATCGATTGAAATAGTTTCAGAAGGAATGGTACCAGCTCCTCATTGTACCTCTGGTAGAATTCAGTTGTGAATCCATCTGGTCCTGGACATTTTTTTGTTGGTAGGCTATTAATTATTGCCTAAATTTCAGAACCTGTTATTGGTCTATTCACAGATTCAACTTCTTCCTGGTTTAGTCTTGGGAGGGTGTATGTTTCAAGGAATTTATCCATTTCTTCTAGATTTTCTAGTTTATTTGTGTAGTGTTTATAGTATTCTCTGATGGTAGTTTGTATTCCTGTGGGATCAGTGGTAATATCCCCTTTATCATTTTTTATTGCGTCTATTTGATTCTTCTCTCTTTTCTTCTTTATTATTCTTGCTAGCAGTCTATTTATTTTGTTAACTGTTTCAAAAACCAGCTCCTGGATTCATTGGTTTTTTTGAAGGGTTTTTTTGTGTGTCTCTATCTCCTTCAGTTCTGCTCTGATCATAGTTATTTCTTGCCTTCTGCTAGCTTTTGAATTTGTTTGTTCTTGCTTCTCTAGTTCTTTTAATTGTGATATTAGGGAGTCTATTTTAGATCTTTACTGTTTTCTTGTGTGGGTATTTAGTGCTATAAATTTCCATCTACACACTCCTTTAAATGTGTCCCAGAGATTCTGGTATGTTGTGTCTTTGTTCTCACTGGCTTCAAAAAACGTCTTTATTTCTGCCTTCATTTCGTTATTTACCCAGTAGTCATTCATTAGCTGGTTGTTCAATTTCCATGTAGTTGCATGCTTTTGAGTGAGTTTGTTAATCCTGAGTTCTAATTTGATTGCACTATGGTCTGAGAGACAGTTTGTTGTGATTTCTGTTCTTTTACATTTGCTGAAGAGTGTTTTACTACCAATTATTTGGTAAATTTTAGAATAAGTGCAATATGATGCTGAGAAAAATTTATATTCTGTTGATTTGGAGTGTAGAGTTCTGTAGATATCTATTAGGTCCACTTGGTGCAGAGCTGAGTTCAAGCCCTGGGTATCCTTGTTAACCTTCTGTCTTGTTGATCTGTCTAATATTGACAGTGGGTTGTTAAAGTCTCCCATTATTATTGTGTGGGAGTCTAAGTGTCTTGGTAGGTCCCTGAGGACTTGCTTTACAAATCTGGGTGCTTCTGTAATGGGTGCAGATATATTTAGGATAGTTAGCTCTTCTGGTTGAATTGATCCCTTTACCATTATGTAGTGGCCTTCTTTGTCTCTTTTGATCTTTGTTGGTTTAAAGTCTGTTTTATCAGAGACTAGGATTGCAACCCCTGCTTTCTTTTAGCTTTCTATTTGCTTGGTAGATCTTCCTCCATCCCTTTATTTTGACCCTATGTGAGTCTTTGTATGTGAGATGGGTTTCCTGAATACAGCACACCGATGGGTCTTGACTCTTTACCCAATTTGCCAGTCTGTGTTTTTTAATTGGGGCATTTAGCCCATTTACATTTAAGGCTAATATTGTTATGTTTGAATTTGATCCTGTCATTATGATGTTGGCTGGTTATTTTGACCATTAATTGATGTGGTTTCTTCATAGCATCAATGGTCTTTACCATTTGGCATATTTTTGCAGTGGCTGGTACCGGTTGTTCCTTTCCATGTTTAGTGCTTCTGTTCAGCAGGCCTGGTGGTGACAAAATCTCTCAGCATTTGCTTGACTCTAAAGGATTTTATTTCTCCTTCACTTATGAAGCTTAGTTTGGCTGTATGTGAGATTCTGGGTTGATTAGTATGTTTAGTCTTTTCTTTAAGAATGTTGAATGTTGGCCCCAACTCTCTTCTGGTTTGTAGGGTTTCTGCTGAGAGATCCAACTTACAAGGGATGTGAAGGACCTCTTCAAGGAGAACTACAAACCACTGCTCAATGAAATAAAAGAGGACACAAACAAATGGAAGAACATTCCATACTCATGGATAGGAAGAATCAATATTGTGAAAATGGCCATACTGCCCAAGGTAATTTATAGATTCAATGCTATCCCCATCAAGCTACCAATGACTTCTTTCACAGAATTGGAGAAAACTACTTTAAAGTTCATATGGAACCAAAAAAGAGCCCACATACCCAAGACAATCCTAAGCACAAAGAATAAAGCTGGAGGCATCACGCTACCTGACTTCAAACTATACTACAAGGCTACAGTAACCAAAACAACATGGTACTGGTACCAAAATGTTATATAGACTAAAGGAATAGAACAGAGGCCTCAGAAATAACGCTACACATCTACAACCATCTGATCATTGACAAACCTGACAAAAACAAGAAATGGGGAAAGGATTCCCTATTTAATAAATGGTGCTGGGAAAACTGGCTAGCCATATGTAGAAAGCTGAAACTGAAGCCCTTCCTTACACAATATACAAAACTTAACTCAAGATGGATTAAGGACTTAAATGTAAGACCTAACACCACAAAAACCCTAGAAGAAAACCTAGGCAATACCATTCAGAAGATAGGCATGGGCAAAGACTTCATGACTAAAACACAAAAAGCACTGGCAACAAAAGCCAAAATAGACAAATGGGATCTAATTAAACTAAAGAGCTTCTGCACAGTGAAAGAAACTATCATCAGAGTGAATAGGCAACCTACAGAATGGGAGAAAATCTTTGCAATCTACCAATCTGACCAAGGGCTAATATCCAGAATCTACAGAGAACTTAAACAAATTTACAAGGAAAAAACAACTCCATCAAAAAGTGGACAAAGGATATGAACAGCCACTTCTCAAAAGAGGACATTTATGCAGGCAACAGCCATATGAAAAAATACTCATCATCACTGGTCATTAGAGAAATGCAAATCAAAACCACAGTGAGATACCATCTCATGCCAGTTAGAATGGTGATCATTAAAAAGTCAGGAAACAACAGGTGCTGGAGAGGATGTGGAGAAATAGGAACACTTTTACACTGTTGGTGACAGTGTAAATTATTTCAACCATTCTGGAAGACAGTGTGGCGATTCCTCAAGGATCTAGAACCAGAAATACCATTTGACCCAGCGATCCCATTACTGGGTATATACTGAAAGGATTATAAATCATGCTACTATAAAGACATATACATACATATGTTTTTTGCAGCACTATTCACAATAGTAGAGACTTGGAACCAACCCAAATGTCCATCAATGATAGACTGGATTAAGAAAATGTGGCACATATACACCATGGAATACTATGCAGCCATAGAAAAGGATGAGTTCATGTCCTTTGCAGGGACATGGATGAAGCTGGTAACCATCATTCTAAGCAAACTATCACAAGGAAAGAAAAGAAAACACCACATGTTCTCACTCATAGGTGGGAGTTGAACAATGAGAACGCATGGACACAGGGTAGGGAACATTATACACTGGGGCCTGTCAGGAGGTAGGGGGCTGGGGGAGGGATAACATTAGGAGAAATACCTTATGTAAATGACGAATTGATGGGTGTAGCAAACCAACATAGCACATGTATACCTATGTAACAAACCTGCATGTTGTGCACATGTACCCTAGAACATAAGTATAATAAAAACAAAAACAAAAAAACATAATACAGAAGTAGCAAACATTAGAAGCAGCTACAACCCTCTAGGTCCAAGATGGAGAACCTGGGAAGGAGCCACCTCCACGTCTCTCACCTCTTCAGGGGCGAATTGCATTCCTTGTTGGAAAGGGTGTGCAATGGTCACTGGATGGGAGAGAAATCACAGTCTCTTTGCTGATGCAACTTGTGGGAAACCTAATATTTTGGGTTGCCAGGAAACATCTGTTCACAAAAAGGTGCTGCATCTCTGGACTCATTGCAAAGCTACCTGAGGGATTCCTGGGCAATTGATTCATGGAGAGGTGATGTACTGGTGGCACTCTGCTGTGATGACGCCTGAGGAGGTATCAGGGAAGCTGCTGGCTGTACATGATGCTGGCCAACCTGTACTGCAGGAACTGGGCCCTGGTGAATGTTCATGGTGGAGGAACCTAGTGAGAGATGTGCACCAAAACCAGGAAAATAAACCCTTTCCCCCTAGAGCAAACGTACAGCAGCACCGCCTACTGACAATATTGTACCAGCTGACAAAGGAGAACTATCCACAGGGCCCATCTCAGTTACTGCAGAATAAGGAATGGAGAGTGAATTTGGAATTGAGAGACAATAAGTGGATGACTGTCACAGTCAGTGTTAACAATGAGGTTTTGCTCTTTAGGAATAAGTTATCTGAAGACAAAGCAGGAGGAAGGTCTGTCTTGGTCCTGGATCACTGCTGCTAAAACTTAAGCATGCAAGTCAATCACCTGGGTGTTTAAATAGATTTCTGGGCCCCATTATGAGAATTCTGATTCAAGAGGTCTACAATGGGGTCTGATCATTTACATTTCTTACCAGTTCCTAAGGGATGCTTGATACCGTCTTCTCCTTTTACCTTTAGGTAATTTATCTATCATGAAGAGTTTCTTATTTTTATCACCTAGTTTTATGACCAGGGCCACACTTTATGTAGAACACTCCTTCTGTTCTCTTCTAACTTAGTTATTATACACAAGGAGAAGATAATCTTGATCTTTCTAAAAGCATACATTTGAAATCTTTAAATAAAAGCAGTCCCACACAACTGCATTTCTGATCATTTAAAAATGTATTTTCTTTTTTTTCAATTTAGGATTTTCTAAACAGATTAAAGAAAAGTAATAACTATAGTAATATTTTCTCAATTATTCTAGTACAGTATCTACTCACATCACATATTTAATATGACTTGGAATTGTCAATTTCACATGATTTAACACTACACAAAACATTTTCAAACTGCATGAAAATGTAACCAACAGGTTTTTCTATTGAGAAGTTGTAATATAAAAACGTACAAAAAGATTTGAGGGGAAAAAAAGTAAAAACTGTCCTGACAGCGGCTTTCCTTTGTTTCAATATGGGGTTAAATGTTAAGAATAAAGATAATTTGACCTAGCTCTATTTTTCCTAAGGTTTATAAAATATCTTTCTTTCATATAACTGAAAAATATGGTAACTGTGATATCTCTTTAGTCTTAGTAAAATAAACATGTCTTTATTAAGTTATAGGATGGTAATGAGCTTCACGTTGAGCTGAGGCACTAACCTGAGTTTATGCCCCTGGAGACTTTTGCTTTTCAGGCAAGCATACCTCAAGGTATACATGTCACGTTGTTTCAGGTGACCTTTAATTTTATCCCATAAAATAATGTTTGAGCTTATCTCATTTTGCCAATTATTTCCATGACTTACTGACACTCTTGCCAATAAATCAGTGAGGCTGTTTTCTTAATGTATAGAGACACATTACAGAAAAAGCCTAGGTGTGAGTCACAGTTCCTGGGGTTTTCACGTGAATTTACCAACAAGCTTAGAGGCCTTCAACAAATGCTTATGTTTCCCTTTCTGGGCCTCAGTTTTCTCAAACGTAAAAATGACAGATTTAAAGAAATTATTTCTAATGAACTCTCTACCTCCCTGATTTTATATTTTTTATCAAATATCTTAAAATATAATATTGTTGGGCTTTATTAAACAGAGCTCATCCAGAAAGGTTAATAAAATCACTGGGGTTTTTCTCTTTTATTATGATTTTTGAAATAACTGTATGAGTCTTTTGTTAATATAGATAAACAGTGTTGTATAATGGTGGACACGTGTTAATGTCTGGGCTGTTGTCCCACTGATTTTTTTTTTAATAACAATACTGATAACGGCAAATGAGGTATTAGCCTAGTCGGTGTACCACAATAAAAGGAACCACTATGTGGTAGTATAATGCAGAAAATGGTAGGAATCGGGGCTCTAGCTGTAATGAGATGTGCTTTGTCTGGTCATATGGTCTTCAACTTGAATTATTTAATCGATATAAACTATAGTGAACTAGTGACTTAGAGAATATTGATAACACTGTCAGATTGTTTATAAATAATACCAGCATTATACATTTTATAGTGAAATTCATTCCAAATAATAATGCTGAAATGTTGGCATTTTTCAATATTTCAAGAATGTTACAAGATTAATGAAAAAAATAACAAGTACAATGTTAATTTTTTGAATTGGCACTATGAATTATTAATTGTGGAAAAAGGATCGGGCAAGCAGAAAAGGTTTATTAATTTATTATTTTTAATTTTTTTTTAAGATTGGGTTGTTGACGTATCATTTTCCTCATTGCCATGCAGGTGTGAGGTGATGTCTTTTCAGTGATTCCAGATGAGGCATGGCCTAAAGCAGAGAATGACGCATTCTCAGATCATGCGATCGTCATAACTGGGCTTCATCCACCTTCCCAGAGATTTCCTGAGAGGCTCCAGTTCAGACCTTAACACCAGCCACTACCCCACATTTTCCCTCCACCACCACACATTAGCAGGGGAATAGAACAAAATGGTGAATTCAGTGGGGAGAAGTCCCTCCACTGGAATTCCCTCATGGGGAGATTATTCTCTCCTCTCCCAATGGGAAAATGCAGTAAGTGTCCCCCAGAAAAGGGGAGATGCAGAAGACACTTATGAAGACTTGGGTGAGTGGCCATGGTTGAGGTGCTGCTAGGAACCCCACAGCAGAAGGAGCAAAGATTATAGAGGACTGAGGCCCCGTGAGATTTCAGTTATTGGGAAAAAAATAAACAATAGTTGCACATGCATACCCCAATGAGGTAATATTGCTGAATGTACATCTATTACAAGGCTTTTTCTCCATATTAGAGCTAAATTTCAGCTGCCATCTAATTTCCTGTTAGAATTAGCACATTAGTAGGTTTGGATTTTGTGACGCATCTTAAAATTCTTCGTTTTTGCATTTCATTTGTCTTTTTGTCTCCTGTACCTGGCAGAGTGCCTGGCACAGAAAATGCACTCAATAAATACAGAACTAAAAAGACACCGAGGCAGGAGAATCACTTGAACCCGGGAGGTGGAAGTTGCAGTGAGCCGAGACGGCGCCATTGTACTGCAGCCTGGGCAACAAGAGCGAAACTCTGTCTGGAAGGAAAAAAAAAAAAAAAAAAAAAGACGTAGTGTTTGTGTGTTTGTGGTTATTTTGAGGATTTTTCTCATGGTATTTTCATTACTCAGTTTCCTGTGTGCTGTTCTTGAGGCAGCTGTTGTTAGAACAACCACACATATTAAAATAATCCACAGAATGTTAAAAAATACTGATGCCTAGATTCTCCCTACTTAAGATTTTGATCTAATTGGTCTGGGGTGTAAGCTGGACGCAGGGGTTTATAAAAATTCCCAGGAGATTCTAAAATACAGCCAAGATTGGGAACTACTGTCTAGATTATCTTCCTTCTTACCAATTCTTTCTTCTGCTGTATCTAATCTACAATTTTACCCATTCATTGAGACTTTAATTTTAACAATTGTGATTTAAATTTCTAAGACATCTTTTATTATTTTTAATTGATCTTTCTATTTTGCTATAGTGCCATTTTCTTATAGTTTCCACACCTGCTTTTATACTTTAATCATTTTAAATTTGTTTTACTACTTTTATGGCTAATTATTTTATAGGAAATTCTTCGGAATCTACCCGTCCTACTTCATGTGCACTGTCTCTTGCTTACTGAACCTTGTTCTCTTGCATGTTTTATAAATTTGAATTGTAAACCTAACTTAAAAAGAGTTCTATCTGGAAATCCTGACAGCATGGTTTCAAGGAGTTTTGATTTGTCTTTGGCAAAATACACAACAGTATCTCCACAGCCCTATAAATCCTGTTTTATATACATTTCTGGTGTTCTGTGTTTCTAAATCACAGAATATTTATACCTCCCCACTTCAAATCACTGTAGTGGACAGGGCTGGGGTTTAGAATTCCCAGAGAAGCATTTTTTCCCCTGCAGCCAGCAAAGGGTAGACAATGTTGTTCTTTGCCAAATGTGTTAGCTCTCTTTAATCATTACC